>NC_000021.9:8756715-8886604 GCF_000001405.40 Homo sapiens | reverse complement strand
GATCATGCTCTTTGCAGGGATATGGATGAACCCAAAGCTGATATCTTCAGCAAACTAATGCAGGAAGAAAAAACCAAACACTGCATCTTCTCACTTATAAGTGGGAGCTGAACGATAAGAGCACATGGACTCGGGGAGGGGAACAACAAACACTGGGGCCTGTTGGGGTCAGGAGGGAGAGCATCAAGATCAATAACTAATGCCCACAGGGCTTAATATCTAGGTGATGGATTGATAGGTGCAGCAAACCATCATGGAACACGTTTACCTATATAAGAAACTTGTTGGCCAGACTGGTCTTTAACTCCTGACCTCATGATCTTCCTGCCTTGGCCTCCCAAAGTGCTGGGATTACAGGTGTGGCCACCATGCCTGGTGGCTATTTCTCTTTTTAAATTCTCTCAGGACTCCTAAAATCTCAAAACTTTGACCTAGATTCCCTAATCTACATTTCCAGCTCTGACCATTTTCTTGAGGTCTCTTCCTTCTAGTACACATATTATAGAAAATATTCTCAACCACATGCTCATACATTGCTAATTGGTGCAGATTACTTTTGTAGATAGTGAATGTTGTCTATTTTATGTTGGTTCTCATTAATGTTACTTTGAGTATACTGTTATTTTCTAATCTCAAAGGGGGACTATCTCACTGTTATGATACTAACCAGTATACTTTGTCCTTTTTTTCTTGCTTTCTTCTTTTTTGGACCAGTATACTTTGTCCCTTTTTTGTTTTTCTTTTTTTCTTTTTTTTGAGATGGAGTCACACTGTGTCATCCAGGCTGGAGTGCAGTGGCACCATCTCGGCTTACTGCAACTTCCACCTCCTGGGTTCAAGTGATTCTCCTGCCTCAGCATCCCAAGTAGCTGGGACTACAGGTGCACACCACCAGACCTGGCTAATTTTTGTATTTTCAGTAGAGACAGGGTTTCACCATGTTGGCCAGGCTGTTTTTGAACTGCTGACCTCAGCTAATCCACGCACCTCAGCCTCCCAAAGTGTTGGGATTACAGACGTGAGCCACGGCACCCAGCCCTCTTTTTCTTTTATGATGAAAACTTTCCCATGAGAATCATATTATCAATTGTTTGCCTTTGTTTTCTTTTAAAGAAATTCCTTTTCCATAGAGATATGGCATGATGAAAGTCTTGTTCTAAAGTTTCTTTTGGGGGACACTTAACTATGTCATTGGGAAGCTTCAGTAAGTAGAGAACTCCCTTCTTCTCACTCAAGATTCTTCATCTCAAAATGGTGTCCACCAAATGTCTTAATCCAGGTAGTCTTTTGTGTAGAAATTCATGAAATAAGAACCTTCTCGAGAAGTTGGAGGCTAGTGATTGAGATGGTTTAACGCTGCCCCTTATTATATGTTTTACTCCCAAGGTAGACATCAAAGTGGCTAATAATTCTATGACTGATGTCTAACTCACTTCTATGGGAATCTATACAAAACGTTTTATTTATGAGACAGAGTCTCCCTCTGTTACCCAGCCTGGAGTGCAGCGGCTTGATCACTGTTCACTACAGCCTCAATATTCCAAGCTCAAACGACCCTCCTACCACAGCCTCCCAATGTAGCTGGGACTACAGGCGTGCACCACCATGCCTCAGATAAGTGTTTAATTTTTTTTTTTTTTTTTTTTTTTTTTTTAGAGACAGGGTCTCACTATATTGCTCTGGCTGGTCTCAAACTCATGGGCTCAAACGATCCTCCTGCTTCAGCCTTCCAAAACCAGGTGTTTAACTGGGGACTAACATGAAACACTTAGAAGACTACGTGGAACATAGTGAGCTACATAAAATATTTGCTATTAGCATAATAATTTTATTGTATATCTTAACAAAATTGTGTATTTTAGGCAGGTGGCATGCCAATGGAAGTACTCTCCTATAGCTGCACTGAATCATTCTTACCACTGAGAGTTGCAGCAAATGGGGGACATAATTTATAACTTACTTTTCTCTCTGTATGACTCATTAGGCAATGACTATGTATGTACTACAATGTAAACAGCACCTCCTGGATTGAATAGTACATAACTGACATGACCAGCAGAGACAGGCTAAAGACACTGAGCTGAAAACCCTGGACTCTATTGCTAAATCAAGGCTCCTGAATCCGTTCCCTCTGAGAAACTGTTGCTGTGGTGCTGCCTTCACAAGCACTCTGCTGAGCACTCATATTGAGGGGCTGTGCTATCCGTCATCGGACAAGCTGCACCCAGAACTGTTCAGCTGACAAACTGGTAGCAGTCCAGAAACACAGTTCTGCTGCATAGTGAAAAAAGGCCAATTTAGATTCTTTTTCATAGAGAGAAAAACATAAACATGTGATTGAACGAGTCTCCTGTATTAGACTAATTGGGTTGGCTTTGATATTTAATTGCTAAAAACACACTTAGAATATAAACCTTACTGTGTCAAGGTCTCAAAGAAGAAATAATTGGTATGGTATAAAGTATTGAATTGTATGCTACAAACTTCTAAGCTAAAATATTTTCAATGTATGCAAGGATAGGTGGCACACATATTATATATTATTCCCCCATTAAGCAAATTTATAATGAGAGAAAACTATCTTCCATAAAAAAATAAAAGCCATGTAAAATTAAGAACTAAGTTTTTCTGCAAAGACTAGACAACGATTGCTAACACATAAGGTCAATGAGAGAACACTCAGAGAAAGCTTCATGAAAACAATAAATTGTCTGCCACTTCTGAGTGAATGAGGCTAGATGAATAGAAACTGAGAAGGCAGAAAGGATAGCATGAGCAAGACAAGTGCTGAAATCTGCCCAATTAACTCTGAGGATAAAGTCCAATGGCAGAGAAATAAAAACGCGTGTCCACATAATAACCTGTAAGTGAATGTTCGCAGCAGCATTTTTCATAAGAGCTAAACAGTGGAAACTAACCTAAAGGTCCATCAACCGATGAATGAATGGAAAACCAGTATAGACATGGAATAGAATATCACTTAACTGTAAGAAGAAATAAACTACCAATGTGTGCTAAAACATTATGCTAAGTGAATTCTGAAAACATTATGCTAAGTGAAAAAGCCAGTCACAAAGGACTACGTATTGTATAACTCTATGTATATGAAATAGGCAGAACAGGCGAACATATGGAGACAAAAGCAGATAGATGGTGGTTGCCTACAACAGAGGTAGGTGGAGGGACATGGAGGAAGGCTGCAGTCATGCCTAGGAGATGTAGCGTTGCTTTTCAGGGTGATGAAAATGCTGTGAATTACTAATAGATACTGAGTTGTACATTTTAAATGGTTGAACTCTCTCAAATGTGAATGATATCTCAGTGTAACTGTTTTTAAAATCCGAAGGCAGGATCAAGATAATTTTCTCAACTCTCAATTTTTGATGTACATGTTATCTCAAATTTAAATATTTCCACAGTTTTATAGTATATTTTAAATAAAAGATAAAGAAAATGCCTAACTTTTCAAATAGTTTGTAAATTAACCTAAAACATGCACTTTTAAAAGAATAGTATAATGGCCTTTCTGTACAAGTTAACCTAGAATCTGTGAAATAAATAGACACAGATTCTGTGTCCACTCACAAAAGTGAAGAAATAAGACAATTTTCTGGAACATTCCATGAAACATTCTTCTCTGATTTAATCTGGCCTGCCTCATCAGAGCAATACAAAAATTACTTAAAAATACTGTTTTAACAGGACAAAAGTCAGTTTTCTATGAGGAATGATATATAATTCTCAACTTTTCCAAGGGTACGTATTGTAAGAGAAAAGGTATGCAATGGTTTTTCAAAATGGTAGAATGAAAGTCACAATATAAAAAAATAAGTACATTATAGAGATAGTAAAGTGGAAATAATTCATTGTAATGAAAATAAAAAATCAAGCTTCTGCCATAATTCGTATCCTAAAACATGTTATGTAATTCAACTAGCTACAGAATAACAGTTGACATGCTAAGTTCCATACATACTTGACTTTCCACTTGAAATAATTTCTTCTTTGGGACCTGTGTCTCATCCAAATTAATGTGATAATGTGATATACCTTCCAGTGGAGACTCTAACATAGTTAATTTTTTTAGGCTGTCAGCCGCTTCTTGTTGAAGTTGTCTCACAACCACCTGAGAAAATATTTTTGTTACTGATTTTATAAATTGCCTTATTAAATTATGTTAATAATATTTAACTCTAACATACGTACTTTGAAAATTATCACCACACATATCAATTCACCTTCTTTTAATCACATGTACACATTTTTATTTATTACTGAATTCAGTGAGGGATGCACAATATGTTCTCTTCCTGCCAAATTGGTATTCTCTTACTTACATAACAGATTCATCCCACCATTCAATCATCTTAGAAGCTCAACTCAACCTCAAAGTTCCTCACATATTCAATCACCTGTTCAAATCCTTCCAACAGATTCCTATCTCAGAATAAAAGTAAAATTCCAATGGCCTTTGAGGTCCTAGGTAAACAGGTCTCTACCTCCCTCTCTGACTTCAAAGCTCCTACAACTCCCTCCTGTAATTACTCCATTCCCACTGTACGTGAAGCCTGCCACCCCTCTGTCTGAAAATAGGGATCTAATGCCTTACTCATAAATCACAGGCAGCTACAAGTATCTTTGTACTGAACAAAATTATATTCCAATGATAGTCATTAAGCCTTGAAATAAAAATTAGGAGCTAATTATTAATATAAATATTCAAAGTAAACTATAAATACCAGTGGGAAGACTAAACCAAATATAGTTTTGCTAAATATTACCACATGTATCCTAAATTATGATTTTATAACAAGTAGGTGCCTTTAAAACATTACATAGTCATAAAAATATGTAATTTGACATATTTTCAGATTTGTTAAATTAATATGATTAATAACAAAGATATACCAACTAAAATACATAAAAAGCTACTTAAAGCAAGGTATTACAAGACACAGCAATACACTTCAGTTCATCTGGGAAATCTAGAATTAAGTGTCAAAGATAATCAATTAAATTTTAATTTGAAAATACTCATTTCAGGTGTAAACATTTCCATTTATACTTACATTATGGTCTTAACATGTGGCAACATAAAGTCATTAAAATTATTATTTCAGCAGTACAGAACTATCTACCTTAAAATATGACTCTGTGCCTAATAAAATTTCATAGGTGACACAATGTCTTTTCTCAAAGTAAATCATCTCTCACCTCTACCTTTTATTTCCTAGAAATGGGGCACGTTTCTAAGCTGGTATAGTAAACACGGTTTTCCTTTTTTTTTATTAAAACAGCTTTGTTGAAATATAATTTACATACTATAGAATGTATCTGTTTTAACTTAAAGTTAAAAGAATTTTTAGTCCATTTACTGAGTTGTGCAGCCATCTCTACAATCAAACTTTACAGCATTTCCATCACTGCAAGATCCCTGACGCCCATTAGCAGTCACTACCAGCTTTCAGCCCCAGCCCTTTGCAAACATTAGTCTACTTTTTGTCCCTATACGTTTATCTTTTCTGGATGCTTCATGTAAATGGAATTATACAGTATGGTAAACACACTTTTTATCCATTGATTTTTATATTCAACTAAGTTCAACATGTATCCAGAACCAAATGTTTAAATTTTCTTTCTAAAAGTTTGAAAATATTTATCTTCCTTGATACTTACTACTCTTTCTGCTTTCTCTCTCACATATCGAAAGAGACTTTCTTTTTAATGATCACATTCGTTCATTAGCTTCTTATTTTTCTCTTCTAGCATGTGGTCTTTCTTTCCACTCTCAATAAAGCCTCTTTGGATATTAGTTACTATCTCTTTATGATCCTCTTTCTGATGAACATCATCTAGTTGCTGTTCAATGCACGGATTTTCATGTTGGAGTTGACATATCCTCTCTTCTACACAGCTCCACTTTCCAGTGGAATTATTCACTTTAGCTTCTGCATTTTCATACATCTCTTTCATTTCCTTTATTTGCTGCTGTGTTTGGCTTAGGTCGTTTGGAGAGTTTCTAAAGCCAATGACTTTTTTCTGAGAGTATCTCTGTTCTTACGGAACTTATCTTTTAAGGTATTGAATTTAATTTGCTTTTTAGAAAGTTGTTCAGTAAGAAACTCATTCTTCTACTTCGGAAATATCAGAACTCATTTTTACTTGTACGGAAACATCTTGTGTTCACTCTAATGCAAGTTTTAGGTTTCTTTCTGTTTTCACACTTTCACTGTGCTTACTTATAGCAGCAGTCAGTCTAGACTGATGATTCAATTTCAGCTTCCAGTCTTTTGTTGCTTTCTTCTTCCTTCAACAGATCGGAATTGAGCCTTGTATTCTCAGCTTTGAGATCATTAAGCTCTTGTTGATACCGGAATGCTGTTCTTGTTATCAATTCCTCATTGAGTTTTATATACTTTTCAAGGGCAGCGTTTGTTTTTTTTAACAATTTTAACGTCCTTAAGATATTTATTTTCTTTTTCCAGGTTGTCATTTTTCATTGTGCGTATTTCCTGTCGGAGTATAGCAATATCTGTCTTCAAAATGCAATTTTCATCCATCAGATCTTTCATTTCTTCCTGATTATGAAAATCCTAAATAAAACAAAAGAAAGTTTTAGCTAGTACTCAATAAAATATCATGATTACCTCTGAAGTTAAAGAATAACCTGCACATCCATATACTAAAAAGGTTACTGTAAGTGGATATCCAACTGGAGAAAAAGTTGAAGCAAAACTTTGAACTTTATAGAGCATAAGTTCCAAAAAGTTCAGAAATTTATTTAAAGTCAATGAATTTATAAAAGTAAACACACACACACACACGCACACCAGAGAATTTTTAAGAATTTCAGAATTGGAAAAGCCTTTCCCTGAATTACAACAAACTCAAAAGCATAAATTAAAGCATTAACAAATTTGACTAAATTAAAATATATCAAAAAATTGCATTTACACTTTGATATCTAACCCATACACCACCCTATAGTAAGAACCTTAGTTCACACATATTTGGACAGATAAAATTTCTCAGAGTTATTACAGTTCTGTTTCACTGATAACATTCTATTTTAATTTGACTCTTTTAACACTTTTATAGTCAGTTGAAAGAATTACATTTACTAAATCATAAATCTAGACATTATACTAGTCACTCCTATATACATTCATTGATGAACCCATCTAGTTACCACAAATTTGAAAAAGAAATGTTAAAAATATAAGCAAGCTACAGGATTTTCCCCAGGACTTCTTACTCTACTTCTAGTTCTCTGACAGATCACAGTTACTTCTGTGGTGTAAATGTATCAATACGAAAGAAAACATTTATTTCAAAACACCAATGGTAAATAAGATAAAATTTATAGAGCTCTTCTTAGAATATCATGAGATTATTTGTGATTGCAATAATTTGTTTCCTCTTTATAGTATTAGGTACAGTAATCAATATGAAATGGCGGGAAGTACAAGGAACAATTTTACTGGGAACAAAATCTTTATCAATAGGTTATCACTAAGTATATATTATGGCATATTATTGTTTTCAAAAGCTCTTTGTAATAAAATAATATCCTATGTGGATGCCAAGATTTATAATAAAAATAATTGTACCTGTAAGTGTCATCATTCATTTTTTAAAAATGAGATAACATTTCTGGTTTGTTTTAGACCAAAATATTATATATTAAATCAAGAGGATATTATAAGTAACATTGATAAAATAAAGTTTAAAATATAGAATTTTTACCAAAGATTTATTTATCTGATTTGGAGTATTTCTTGTAGTCTTCGGTTTCATCTCTAGTGATTGAATAGTTGGTTCAAGTTGTTTTGCTTCAACTTCTTTCTTATATTGTTTCCCTTTCCTTTCTAATTCTTCTCTATTTTTTTGTACAGCATATTAACATTTGTTTTTTCTTCACTTTCTTGTCTTAAGATGCATCTGCAGACAAAGACATTTATCTTAAAATTCATTTTGTTAAAAAATAAAGAGATCATCCTGTGATCTACCTCTGCAGATGCTCTTTATCATCCTAGTAAAATTTCTATGTTCTGGATTATTTTTCCTTTGTAGTTCTCAGATATTTAATTTCTCACTTCAACATCTTCAAACGAATGCATATACTTGAAAATTAGTAAGGAAAGAATATTCTGCTAAAGTTTTTATTACTAGTCACTCTAGTATGTATTATACAAAAAGATACTGGAAATAATTCAGTATAGTTAGAAGTTCAAAATTACCTTTTCAAATCACACAGTCATAATTATTACCTGATTAGAAAAGGTCATTTACAATCAACTAAATTTTTAAAGTTACTATTTATTGACAAGCGTATAAGTTCACTAGAAATAAATTTTCATCTCTATGAAATATTGCAGGTGTCTCTCCAAATGATTTACAGAGTAAGATATCTCTCACACAAACTATATCTGCAGATTATTGTCATCTAAAACTAGGCTAAAGAGTCTAACATCTGTTACCCCACACTTTTTCTAATTCTTTCTTAATACTTCCAGTTCACCTTCTTATTACATATATTTTATATATTTATTAAGCTATTGTTCATTATGTGTAATATATAATTAATGCCCTTAATAAGTGTGTGTATGTTTACACAAGTTATGTTTTCCTGTGAAATCTAGTCCCAGAAGTGGAGTTGTTGAGTTAAAGGGATGTCAGGTTATTTGAAATTTTGATAAACAGCACTAAGTTACCCTTCAGAAATAATTTACCAATTTCATATACCAACATTGTATGAGAATGCCTTTTTCCTCTCATTTTCAATGGTAGGAATTACTTTTTCAATATCAGCATGACTTTACAAAATATATCTTATTTTATGTTAATTTGCATTTTTCTGATTACTAGGCAGGGCTAAATATCCCTGGTAAAACTATAAAACTTGTTAATCATAATGAACATTAGTCCAATTTTGAATTAGTTTATAGCACAATGACAATTATCTGCTGAGAAATACTGCTATAGGTGGCCAGGCACGGTGGCTCACTCCTGTAAACCCAGCACTTTGGGAGGCCGAGGTGGGCAGAACACCTGAGGTCAGAAGTTCGAGACAAGCCTGGATAACATGGTGAAACCTCATTTCTACTAAAAATACAAGAAATTAGCTAGGCATGGTGGCACATGTCTGTAATCTCAGCTACTAGGGAGGCTGAGTCAAGAGAATCACTTGAACCCAGTATGCATAGGTTGCAGTGAGGTGAGAACACACCATTGCATTCCAGCTTGGGCAACAAGAGAGGAACTCCATCTCAAAAAAAAAAAAAAAAAAAACTGCTATAGGCTTACTTACCTATCATGCTCTTCCTTCAGTTTCTTGGGAAATTGCTGAGGATACGTTTTCCCAATCTTTCTTTCTTTGGTTAATCTGTCAGCAGCAGCAGAAGATGTACTATGACATACATTTTCTGATAGTTGTATTTTTTCACTTTTGTTTGTATTATTTCCTTCTTTGACCTTTAATAAAAGTAATATGAATAATAATTATTATTTTATTCAATAAAAAAACTTTTTCCCTGATTTTTTAACTTGATTCAGGTTAACTATCACCATTTTAATGATAAAAGTATTTTGTGCTTACTTTAATTTTATCATTATACATAATAATTATAAGATACTCATCATTTTATCATTGAAATTTTTGTCAAGTCTGCTCATTTCTGTTTGAGTGAATGGAAGAATTTTCCAAAATTTCAAAAAGGACTCTTCTCCATTTTGTGCTTTTATTCGCATCCACTCTTTGCTATCTGATATAAATGTTTATGCTAGTTGACTGGCAGAAACAGAGAAATAAAAAGACACAGGCATAACATATATCTTCTGTCATTGCCACATGGATTTTACATGAAATAGCCAGATTAAGAGGATGTAACCTTGTAGGCCTTCAAGAACAGTAAAGAAGTTTTCCCTTTTCTGCACTGAGCTATTCTTTTCCCCACTGCCTTTTATCTCTTTTTTTTTTTTTTGAATCCTGGGATATCAAAAAAGTGAAAGTTCTCCCTGAACTATGGGAACCAATGTTTGTTTGCCACAACACAAGAAGCAGAATGAAACTGCTGAGTTCCTAGTGCAGAATTCTGGAAAACGAGATGCTTCCCAGATTTCACATTCAGTTACCACAAATGTTTATAGGTGGAACACATATGGTACAGTTATCTACTTAAGCCATATTATCTACTGAAAATGGGAGTCAAACCAACCAAGACATACGAAATGTTTCATCCAGAGCTCTTGAGGCGGCATTCCCTAGCATTTCATGGCACCAAATAACATTATACAATTCCATGTTGCTGAATTACATAAATTACCAGATAAATTTATCAAATTAGTCAGATATATTAAAAGTCTAACGAGCAAAGCAATTTAACACCTCAGAGGGTGGAAAAAGGCCTCATCTGCTTTTACTTTGAAAGAAGAAAATCTCTAGATTTTTGTCTATCTTTAGAACACAGTGTACAGAACTCAACTTTCTACTAAAGAGTCAAAGGTTAAATTTTTAGCTAAGAAATTATTCTTCTTACATGATAAAAATCATACATGCCAAAACTTACCATACTTTATTAAACAACATAATGTAAGGTCTGATTCAACAGAAATATTGGAGTGGTGATTTTTTTAAATATGTGGAAGTATATATTTGTTTTCAAAATATTGGAAATAACCATGATGGAACTATAAATTCAAACAGTTTGAGCTAAGCAGATAAACTTGCATGCATGAAAACACATTAAACAGACTCATTTGTCTGGGAATATTCATTGCAACTCTCAAGGCGAGACGTGTTTTTGTGGCTCATCTCAGTCATTGCTTCCCTCCCATTGTATTCCCATTCTATCATTAAATAAATGTAATTCATCTCTAAATGACTATAGTAAAAAGAATCTAGAATCTAAAGCTTATTTCTTTAGCAATTTCTTTATGTTGATCTGGTTCAGAAGGTCACATGGTATATGGCTGAATTAGTTTCCCAGCTCATATGCCACTTGGAAGACTGAGAGTGAGACTTAGGTTGATTAATGAACAAACATTATGAGAACATTCTCCGAACCATTGTTTAGATAGCAGGACTAGTCTACTTTGACACATAATTACACATTTAGAAAACCCCGCTGTAACTGTACACATGGGATTTTCTTGAATAGAAAATTTGACTAAATCAAATAATTGATAAAGAGAAAAAAGAAGCAGCAAGTGAACCTCTGTCTTTTTGAAGTTGGACTTTCTCTTTCTCCAAAGCCAGGAACTCTACTTGTAACATGCCTACCTCATTCTTTTTACTATTATTATACTTTAAGTTCTGGTACATGTGCACAATGTGCAGGTTTGTTACGTATGTACACATGTGCTATGTTAGTGACCTTGAAATATCTTGCTGTAAGTTTCTAGCTATATTTTTTGATGTTCTCTCACTATGTGGCAAAGAATAACCCAGATTTTATAATTCAAGATTCATGGTTTTGTAGTTATTAACACTGGGATTGTCATTCAGTGGCTTCTGGAATAAGCATTGTGTTGGTTTTCTGTTTTTATAAGTATCTGTAGCAGCAGAAATACTGTGGCTTTCTATCTGAATCATATGCTTCATTTCTTTGGGGTGGGTAAACCACAAATCAAAAAGACTTTCTGGATCTCTAGACTGAGACCAATGCCTAATGTCTAATTTCCAATTAGTGGTATTTGGGTTTATACATTTTTCCATTTGCATGTCAAACTCTTAATCATCTTTCATTTCAATCATAATTACTGGGTTCTTTACTTTTTCAGTTTCTATATCATAACAAAAATTTTCATCATCTGTGTTAGAAACAAGCTGTGTGTCTGGTTTGTTATCATTTTTATAGTCTGATTTATTTTAATTTAAATGAAGCTTAGAAGATGACTGGTAAGTGTATTTCAGGGACCTGGAGTGTGAATGGAATAAAAAGACATTTGACATGGGCTTCCTCTGTTCAGGCGCTGCCTGGACTGCCACAGAGCTAGACCCTCCAGATACATTTTTCTCCTCACAATCAGGGACATGATTCATCACACTAGAGGGCACTCCTTTTTTGTTCATCCCTCTTTAGAGTTACCATGTAGGAGCTCTTCCTCAGGGCAAGCAGTAATTTTGGAGTTTTCAGAACTTTTACCAATATTCAGCTTGAACTTGTTTGTAATGAATTTTAAAGAAAGTCATGAATATATAGATAGATTCCCTTTATCACAGTTCTTACCCAGTTCTGGTTCTTGAGACTTTTTTGGGGGGGGGTCAGGTGCAAAATGGAAAACAAATTTGCTTGTTTTGTTTCTCAGATGTCTTTTCTGTCAGAGTGCATGTTTTAAAATTAGCTTTAATCAAGTATAAACAAAGAAATATTAGAAAATAATTAAAATTTAACTGTGAAACTTAATCTATGTGTTGCTACTCTTAAATTATGGGATTGTATCTAAAAAGTGAAAAATAATTTGCCTTGGCTTAACATAGGACAGAAACATGAACCAGCAAGCTGAACTCTCAGTGTCTGTTTGGACTAAACTTAATGCATTTGTGTAAAATCTACCAGAAATGAATTCAAAGATGATAGGTAGTATTATAAAAGCTTCCTCTCTTACAAAGACTTTACCTCAGCATACCAGAAAGAGTGAGCCCCTACAGTGCATGTTTATTTCTGAAGATGAACTAGAGCACTAGGCAAACACTAAATTATTAAGAGCTAAACTGAACACCAATAAGAAAGAGAAGCAAAATTTTAAATTCTAATTCAAATGATATACTATGATAGTGTTATGTATCTAGATAGAATTTCTGCTTATATCCACTTCTAATATATTTTAAGTTCCGGTAGTGATAGGGTTTGGATTTTTTAAATTTTAGTAATGTTTACTATGTATTTATGTTGAAATAAAGTTATTGTTCACACCCTGACACCAAAGGTCCCATTCTGCAAGGTAGGATTCTATTAATAGGCAACTGCATTGACTTTTATGACCCCATTCACTCCCTGAACACAGACACAGAAGTCAGCTGGTGACCACAAAACAGAATAAATCTTTAACCTCGGCACTGGTGACCAGCAATATAAAACTGCAACATTTGAAACACTGGCAATGATGACTCCTTTAACACTAGTTTAACTCAGTGGCCATTGTTGTTAAACTGTTCATAATTTCTATTCCTCAGTAATATGACCCAATACTTCATGTTACCTTGTGTATTATGAGTAAGGTTACATAAATAAAACAGCAAGATAATTCTGAAAATTTCTTGCCTCAATTCCAAGGGTAAAGACAACTATGAGTTACTAGAGATACTAAGAATTACTAGAATAACTAATAGTTACTAGAGATAGTAAGAATATCTTAAGTTTCATAACTGGTTAAGATGTTTTAAAAATTAAATATAAAATTATGATCTATTGGATTCTAAAGGTATAGTCTGAAAGGTCATGTCATTTGGACTATGCTTTGTTAGTAAAGCAAAAAAAACCTAATATTAAACAAGAACTTAAATTTTCATATACCTGTGATTGCTTCTTTTCACTTCTTTCACACCTTTCTTGCTCTTCCTCTAAAGCCACTGGTAAGGTTTGTTCTGTTGACAAATTCATTGATTTAGTTCAAATGAACTAAGAAGAGTTAGATAAAGACTATAATCTTTATAAAAATAAATAGAGAATAACATTTCTTTGTATTTTATATTTTGAGAGTTTGAATGAAACAATGTTTACTGAAATATTTACTTCTGTAAGAAATACTTCTAATTATCCAAAACTTCAACAAACCACTTGGGGAGACACCAGATATCACCAGATTCAAGCCATGCAAAATCTCAGGGACACTCACAAATTGTTCCACCCAACGTAAGTCAACAAAACTGTTGGAAACAAAACAGAAATTTGAAATACAGTCAAAATATACAATGTAATGCTTTACTATACTTCATAACAGTATCTTTTTAACAAGACACTAATTGAGTTAGCAGTTACTAATAACTTGCAAAATTATTGTTGTTTATACCTCAATTAGTGTGCACCCCATTTTTTATATCACAAATGTTTTCCCCTGCTATTCTGAAAAATTTATTTTCATCTTTTAAGACTCAGAAAGTAGGCTGGGCATAATAGCTCACATCTGTAATCCCAGCACTTTGGAAGGCCAAAATGGGAGAATTGCTCAAGGCCAAAAGTTTAAGACCAGCCTGGGAACCATAGGTAACCTTGACTCTACAAAAAATTAGACAGGTATGGTGATATGTTCCTGTTGTCCCCGCTACTCAAGAAGCTTAGATGAGAAGATCCCTCGAGCCCAGAAGTCTGAGGTTTCAGTGAGTCTCAATCATGCCATTGCACTCCAATCCTGGGTGATAGAGTAAGAACTTGTCTCCAAAAAGAGGAAGAAAAAAAGGCTCAGAATGCTATGTGAAATCTTCCTTGATTCTAGCTATCTTTCTCCACACACACAGGTGTCTGCTTCGTTGGGGTCCCTTAGTACCTTGTCAATTTTTCTAGTGTCACTTTACCACCTGACCTGCACATCATGTCTTTACATGTTGACCCCCTTTGCTGCTAGACTGTAGAGGACAATCTTTTGAATCATCTTTGTATAAACAGTCTTAATTTTGCTAAATAATTACTTATTGAGTTCCTGCTAAGTGTTAGGCACTGGGGAATAAGGAAGGAAAATAGAAGCTGTCAGGGATGGCTTTCCTAAAGATCACCCATGAGCTGAGACTTAGAGAGTGAGGTTAGCCAGATTAAGCGAGGCAGAGGGCAGGAAAGGGTGAGCACATGCCAGGCGGCAACAAGAGAGGAAGAGAAGCCTCCAAGAGAGTATGTATTTCTCTGCAGAAGAGGAATGGTGAGGGGCCATTACCAGCAGCTCAGTAATTCCAGAGAAAAAGACAGATGGGGAAAGGGATACAGATGGAGATTTGGGCAGAAATCAGTTTCCTTTCCTTTTCTTTTTTGGGACAAGGTTATACTCTGTCTCCCAGACTGGAGGGCAGTGGCATGATCTCAGCTCACTGCAACCCGGCCTCCCAGGTTCAAGTAATTCTCCTGCATCAGCCTCCTGAGTAGCTGAGATTACAGGCGCGTGCCACTACCACCTGCTAATTTTTGTATTTTATTAGAGATGGGGTTTCACCTTGTTGGCCAGGCTGGTCTTGAACTCCTGACCTCAAATGATCCACTTGCTTCAGCCTCCCAAAGTGCTGGGATCACAGACATGAGCCACCTTGCCCAACCCAGAAGTCAGTTTCTGAAATCCTTATATAAACCTTTAAGATGCTTGGACATTAGGTATTCAGGAGTGGTTCACGGATCTATTTGCATTAAGGATAATTCACTCTAAATACTGTGAGGAGCATAAAATTCTGAGGCATATAAATCAATGAACAAAGATAAAATATAAGGCAATGTTGCAAAGGTGATGCAGGCCTGAGGAGATGTTTTCAGAAATATTTAGGATATAGGTATCAGTGGCCATTATAAGAATGAATTTCTATTGAATAAATAAATGTATATATCTGGGTCCCTGAAGAAATACACTCTGCTCATTACTTTACAAATTTTATCAAATGAGAAGTAAAATAATATACATAAACTCTTTCAGTTACTTGTATTTACTTTACCCTTTTTCTTTTCAGTTTTACTGTGCCAAGGAAATGCATTTGGGTTTTGTGGTGGTTGTTGTGGTTGTGGTTGTTTTTGTTTTTTGAGATGGAATTTCACTCTTCCTGCCCAGTCTGAAGTGCAGTGGTGTGATCTCAGCTCATGGCAACCTCTGCCTCCTGGGTTCAAGTGATTCTCCTGCCTCAGCCTCCCTAGTAGCTGGAATTACAGGCATGTGCCACCATGAACAGCTAATTTTGTGTTTTTAGTAGAGATGGGTTTCTCCATGTTGGTCAGGCTGGTCTCAAACTCCCAACCTCAGGTTATCTGCCCGTCTCAGACTCCCAAAGTGCTGGATTACAGGCACTAGCCACCACACCCAGCAATATATGGGGATTTTGTTTTAAAAGTTATGTTTCCTGGATCTACCAAGCTCATGAGAAAATAGAGCAAACAAGTCATTTGCATAGGTAAGAAACTTTGGATTTATAGCTTGTCCTCACTACTTTAGAAGATTATCATCATGTTTTGCAAAGCAAAATGTTAAACACAGACACAAGGGGAAAAAGAAATTAAAACTATAGGGGTGGGTGAAAAAATATTGCATAATTTATTACTGTTGACCTCATCATATGACTGATTAAGGGCACTGAATTTAACTTGGATGTGAAGTAGACCTCATATTAGCTGCAGTTAATCAGTAGACCAGGCGTCCTAGCAGAATTAAATTTGATGCTCCTGTGTTATCTTTAAAAGGCACAGCTTTTCTGAAAACCCTTACTCATAGTGCATGATTATCCATTAAGAAAAGGTGATGGAATATGTGAATACAGCTGAGGAGACACCACAAGGCAAATGCTAAGTGGTTCCCATTAATATTGCAAAAATCAACACTATAAAACAGAAAGCCATAGACATTATTTAATATTTGGTTTTGGGAGGTATTTTTAGTGGCACTGCATACAGTTGTACCTAATAATTGCTAAATTAGAGACGTAAAAGTAAAACAAAGGCACATTGTGTTTGAGTAGGAAATCTATAGACATCTAGCTGGTTTTCCCATCCAGCCACAAAATTCTAAATATAATCATGGTACCTGCACTCAAATTTATGTTAAATACCAACCTCAATGAAATCACTCTTTCTTCCCATTCTCTTTGTTATTTATATGTTGCTTTCCTTAAGGGAAGAATACAAATGCCTTGCTAAGAACCATTCTGTTTGGTTGTAGGCTGCATAAGGGGAGTAAACACAAAGTACATTTGACCACAAAATGACTTTTTAAAAGTCAGAACTATGGTAGCATGAAGCCAAACGAGGTAATCTAGAATAAAATTTTCTATGCTTCTTTCCCTTCTTTGCTCTCTTTCTACTCTAATAACTGCGATTCACACAGGTAAAGAAGAGTGTAATTCCTTGATAGAAACACAGCTCCAAGATTAATCCTTTCTTTAACTATGAAGTTCGCGTGTCCAAAATCTGTGGTAGTTGCTGTCTGATTTTTATCACTGATGGTGATACAGATATTTATCATCAACTCACAACTTCCCAAATCTTTGAAAAGTCTTACTATTGATGGTTCAACTAGTAGAAACATGATGTAAAATATCTGAAAATAAAGTTTTTATTTATTAGAATGTAAATAATAATACAAATTGTAATAAGGTGTAAAAGTTCTTTCTTCACTGAAGCAGTACCATGTTGTCCTCTACCCCACAAATGCACTACTCCCCCGTGGTCTAATGTATTTTAAAAGTCTTGTAATTGCTATTAACTCAGAAAAGTTTACTTAACTTGTTCTAAGCTTCTGGTATTTACTACAGTTTACTTTCAATCACTCAACCATCTCTGTTATATATGTTGTTTTCCATGAGAAATTTGTTTATTAGTAATTAAGATTCTTCAGGTATAAGAAAATATTTCAATAACTAAGTTTGTGCATAAACACATTAAGGTCAAATACCCATGACATTATTGTGTGTTTCTGTGTACTAGAGACAAAAACTTCAAAAAAAATTTTAATGAATATACGTTAAATTAAAAAATGCTTTCATTAAACTGAGATAATCTTCCCTCAATGCATGAATACCTTCAGAATTCACATAGACCAAAGAATTGTATAAAGTATAATAGCCTTAAAAATCTTATTTGTAGCTGGCACAATGACTCCCACCTGTAATCCCAGCACATTGGCAAGCTGAGGTGGGCAGATCACCTGAGGTCAGGAGTTCAAGAGCAGCCTGGCCAACCTGGTGAAACCCCATCTCTACTAAAAATAGAAAAATTAGCAGGGTATGGTAGCACGTGCAAGTAGTATCAGCTACTCGAGGGGCTGAGGCAGGAGAATTGCTTGAACCCGAGAGGCAGAGGTGGTAATGAGCCAAGACTGAGCCACTGCACTCCAGCCTTGGTGACAGAGCAAGACTCTGTCTCAAAAACACAAATAAACAAACAACCTAATTTTTCCCATATAAGTCTATGTTCATACAAGATCTGAAGAGTACACAACACCGTGAGACAGGACAGACATATATTTTAAAAGTTATATTCCTGGTTTCTGTAAAAATAAAATAGTTGAATTTAAGCTTTCAAGACAAGTCAACGAAAAGAGAATGCAAAAGTGAAACTCGAAGGGTCATTTCCCCATCAAGGGCTCATGATCACTGGACATTCACAAACTATACTGTTCAAAACATTAGATCTGAATTTTGATCCGAGTATCCCTTTAGTAGCAGTTTCATTCAAGGATGTCCAAGAGGTAAAATAAGACAATATCATTTGCTATTTTCAGTTTTCTTTTCTGAGAACAGCCCAGCATTCTTCTTCAGAGAAATGAATTGTGCTAACTTCATAGGCTAAAGGCTCATGAGTCATAGTTCTAAGGGTATTAATAAAATATGGTGGTGTATGCTTGTATTCTGAACTTTTCAGGTTTAAACTCTCATATAGTAAACGCTAATAGATACAAACCAATTAAAGAAAAGCCCTCTTAATCTGACATTATTTTTCTTTTTATTTCTTCATTTATCAGCAACAGGAGAGTCTAACTAAATGTGGTAAAGTGGTATGAGGGAATACAATGAACAGTGTAAAATGAATTAAACCAGGGATAATCACACCAATGTGGGTACAAGTGGAAAATATAATACAAAACACACCAAAGAAAGTGGCAGAAAGGTATATAAAGTGTATAACCACTCACATACCATTTTAGGACACAAAAAATTCTGCATATTATTTCTGAGCATCACAATGTAATTAAAGATTTCAAAAGGGCATTGAAATGAAAAACAACCAACTTATGATGTTGGTAGCCTCTATGCAATCATGTTTTAAAAACTTTAACACCAAAAAGGCTCAAAATCACCATTTTAAAAGACTGTGTCTACCAGTCATAAATGAATCATTACTTTCGTCATTTGTAATAGTCAAAGATGCCACAAGCGCACGCATACACACATCTATATATACACCTACACACACAGTCTTGCTCATTAGAACATCTGATAGGCTTCAGATCATCAGTGTAATAACACTAGCAGCAAGCCTCTGAAGTTAAAACAGAAACTGACACTTTAATAAGTAAAGCTTTCCTCTAGGTAAAGATCAGAACTCCAACTAGCACTTAACTCACTGGAAATATCTTAAGAGTCTCAAAATTCACTGCTTTGAATCCCTGACAAGTATAAAAATTTTATACTGAAAACTTCATGCTATTCAAAACATTTAAACAGAAACATCTGACTTAAAGCTTACATTTTTAAAATCTTTTTTATGCTTCTAAATTTGTTTTTATTCAAATATGGATACCAACAATAACATTTATGTCAATGCCTTCTGTTCAATATTGAACAAATAGAATTAGGAATAAGAATAATATGAGTACATCCAATCATTGAATGTACTTTATTTCCAGTATTCCATTAAATGTACCTGCTCTCAATGTCTGTACATTCTTTCTTTGTACTGCTCCTTTCACAGCAGGATCTTCCACTTCAGTGCTAGGCTGAATGGGTTTTAAAAGATAACGATTCATAAATCATATATATTTTATACAACATGGAGTTAGTGATTCAAAAATATACATAATTAATTACCTTCAAGGAAGGATGTTTTGCAGGAGGCCCTACAAAGCAAAGGGGATATGTCATCAATTATATGTAAGTATGACAAGGCCAACCAAACATTCATGCAGTGTTACTGTCGAGCTGAATTCTCAGGTCTGGCTATAAAAATAATTACTTAAGGTTTTGAGGGTTCTTCTTGGCTTCTTCTTTTCATTGCCTAGGACAGCAACATGACAGAAACACAATGAGGAAAATAGGAATATAGGATTCCCAAAATGCACAGTTTATATTTCAGTAGTGAGATTATGTTTCAAATGCCTATACTTAAAATAGAAAAGCATTGATATAACCGTGAACATGTGGACTGATGAGGAGAAAAGGGACCATTAAACAGAGGGGCAAATCAAACCTGAGAGAATCAATGTCAAAGCTGATGGTGAATGTACAGAGTATTTTAACTCCACACACCAGAGGCATTGCTGCCAGCACAGCACAAATAAATTCCCCTTGTCTTGTCACTGAGGAAATACGCAGTTGGGATGACAGTTCAGGTGAATGTGTGATTCACCTCTCATCAAAGAAAGGGTTCTACATTGATCAGCTAGGATACACACTTATGAAATAACAGCTAATCAAACTACTCATTTTTCCCATGATCACATGGGCTACTGCAGCACCTACATTTCTCCTATCCCCTCATTTGGCCTTGAATTAGAGCTCCTTGATCCACTCATGCAAGGTGGTCCATAAAACACATCAAATAAACCATGTCGAATAAGCTTCTGATATGAAAATATTTATCAAAAAAGAAAACATTGAATGACCACAGACTTGCTGGATATTAATACATATTTATATTTCAAAATCAGTGCAGTATTTATTGAAAATGATAATTTTGGTTTTCATGGAATGAATTTTATGATTACTTCTAAAATTAACTGAGTTTGGTATATTATCTTACACTGTAAAGGACTTTTATAAAACAGCTATCATATCGAAGAACTGGCTGTCTCAAAAAAATTTCACCAAAGCATCTATATGCAACTTAATCATATCTTATTCACTCATGTCAGTGAAACTTCTCTCCCTGAGGCCTGACAGTTATCAAGTGAAATGAGCTGCTGTGGTTTACCCCAACTCTAGCACTCCCTCCTGTCTCCAGTACTCTCCACAGCAATAACCTCTTTTGTGAGACTGGGCATATGCTGAAGCAACTGGAAGTGAGTTGTCTCAAGTTAACTTGGCTTTAACTCCCAAGACCCCAGCAAATGTCTTTCTTTCCTCCTTTTGTGTCCTTTCACCATCCCTCTTCCTTTGAAAAAATGATTATCAGAACTGTCATCCTGATGCTTCCCTTCCTAACTGCTTTTTATGGATGATTGTGACCACTTTTTTCATCTGTATTCAGCAGTAGTATACACCTGTAATCTCTCTTTTTTCATCTCATTTTCCTTCCCCTGTGGCTAGAATCATGCTCAGAAATAAAAGGAAATTAAAGCTTTCCCTGGATTCTGTTATCTTTTAAATTGCTCTCCAGTGGTTCTTTTTCCAGATTTCTCTAAAGGAAGGCTATTCCCTTGCTACTCAGAGCTGTGTCCAAGGACCAGCACAAACATCACCTGAGTGCTCATGAGAAATGCAGACTCCAATACCTGCTGAGTCAGAATGTGCACTTTCCAGAAGCTCCTCAACGTATTCATGACAATTTGAATGCCTTGTTCTACACTGGTGTGCTTCCATATTGGTTTACCCTAATTGGCCTTTTTGGCCTAGCCTCAACTTCTTTCCTATTATGTCCCTGAATTTAATACTACGTTATAAGCCATAATGTTTCTAATGAACTTTTAATCAGGCAAAGCTTCTCTAATTAATTTCTTCCCAATAAATCACCCAACACTATTCTTTTCAATTATGTTAATATGATACTATCCTATGAAGTTACAACATTTTCTATGAAAACAAATTACAGTCATACATGGCTGACCATTTATGGTGATGTTCATCTATGGTAGATAAAACACAGGTCTGCATGGTAAAGTACCTCAATCCTTAATGCCTCCCCAGTAGCGAGAATGACAGCAAGAGAAGGAAAATGTTACTGTAATTATATGACACATTTTGGTACTGGAAGCTCACTTTATCTTCCTTCCTATTTCTAACACCCTGTTCTTCCTTCTTCTACAGATCAATTTGACTTTACTACCCTCCATTACATACATCCACTTTTTTTTATTTATTCCATGTACACTCTGCCCTCCTCATTCTTTCTTTCTCTTTTATTCATTTCCTCTTCCCTCTCTCCTGACTTGCCTCAGGTCTTAGAGTATGTTAAAATGGAACTCATAACTCACCTCCTTTAGTGGTACTTCCAATAGAATCAACTGCTGACCCTTGGTTAGAGACACCACTTATCACCATTTCATTTATCTTTTACTTATGATACAGTTAATAGGACATTTTCTTTAGCTATTAAACTCTATTAGTGCTCATATTTTAAAAGAAACATTCCATCAATGCCTTTTTTTTTTGAGATGGAGTCTCACTCTGTCACCCAGGCTGGAGTGCAGTGGCACGATCTCCGCTCACTGCAAGCTCCACCTCCCAGGTTCACACCATCCTCCTGCCTCAGCCTCCTGAGTTGCTGAGACTACAGGCACCCGCCACCATGCCCGGCTAATTTTTCGTGTTTTTAGTAGAGATGGGGTTTCACCATGTTAGCCAGGATGGTCTTGATCTCCTGACCTCATTACCCGCCCACCTAGGGCTCCCAAAGTGCTGGAATTACAGGCGTGAGCCACCGCGCCTGGTCTCCATCAAATGACTTTTTAAATAAAATACGGTTCTCACCTTTTCCTTTTCCATTGACTATTCTGTTTCCTTTTTCATGAGAAGGTCCACGTAAAGGCTCTGACACTTTCTCGGGGACACACTGCTAAGGTAATATCAAGAATTAGTTTCCATTTAAAATTATAATGAGTTGCATCAAGAGTTTCTTATCAATCTCTTTTTATGAAACTGGGTCTCACTCTGTCAACCCAGGGCTAGAATGCAGGGGCCTGATTATGGCTCACTGTGGTCTCAAACTCCTGACCTCAAGCAATCTTCCCACCTCAACTTCCTGAATAGCTGGAACTACAGGTGCATACCATCATGTCATGCTAATGTTTTTATTGTTATCTTTGTAGAGACAAGGCCTCATTATACCTCCCAGGCTGGTCTCAAGCTCCTGGGCTCAAGCAAATCTTCCACTTCTGCCTCCCAAAATGTTGAGATAAGCAGTGTGCACCACCACACCCAGCCCTAATCAATTTCTTTAAATCAATCTCAATGTTGCCCAGGCATGGTGGCTCACACCTGTAATCTCAGCCCTTTGCAAGGCCAAGGTGGGTGGATTGCTTGAGTTCAGGAGTTGGAGACCAGCCTGGGCAACATAATGAGAACACATCTCTACACAAAAAATACCAAAAGGAGTCAGGCATGAAGGTGTGTGCCTGTAGTCCCAGCTGCTTGGGAAGCTGATGTGGGAGGATCACTTGAGCCTGAGAAGTGGATACAGCAGTGAGCCAAGATCATGCCACTACACTACAGCATGGACAACAGAGCAAGACCCTGCCTCCCCAAAAATTTCAATTTAAAAGAGAGATACAAACAAAAAACAAGCCTAATTAGTCAATGAAATATGAGCTTAAGCCAAGAAAGAAAACGAAAAACATGAAGTACAATAAAGTACATGGGGAAATAGATCTATAACAGAGCCTTCGGTCTTTCATAACTCTGATAATACTAATTAATATTTATGCTGCAATTAGTTTTTTGTAAGTACTTCTGTGATAGTGTTTCTTACTATAAGACATTCAATTAGCTAAATATGGTCATCTACCATTACCTGAAAGAACATTATTATAACAGAGAGAGAAAACTGGAACTTTCCATCAACTTTCCACCCAGAAAAAGAATTGGTCACCAGAATTCTAAAGAGTAATGTATGGCAGACACATGAAAAAATGCTCATCATCACTGGCCATCAGAGAAATGCAAATCGAAACCACTATGAGATATCATTTCACACCAGTTAGAATGGCAATCATTAAAAAGTCAGGAAACAACAGGTGCTGGAGAGGATGTGGAGAAATAGGAATACTTTTACACTGTTGGTGGGACTGTAAACTAGTTCAACCATTGTGGAAGACAGTGTGGAGATTCCTCAAGGATCAAGAATTAGAAATACTGTTTGATCCAGCCATCCCATTACTGGATATATATGCAAAGGATTATAAATCATGCTGCTATAAAGACACATGCACATGTATGTTTATTGCAGCACTATTCATAATAGCAAAGACTTGGAACCAACCCATATGCCCATCAATGATAGACTGGATTAAGAAAATGTGGCACTTACACACCATGGAATACTATGCAGCATAAAAAATGATGAGTTCATGTCCTTTGTAGGGACATGGATGAAGCTGGAAACCATCATTCTGAGCAAACTGTTCCAAGGACAGAAAACCAAACACCACATGTTCTCACTCATAGGTGGGAACTGAAAAATGAGAACACTTGGACACAGGATGGGGAACATCACACACCATGGCCTGTCATGGGGTGGGGGGAGAGGGGAGGAATAGCATTAAGAGATATACCTAGTATAAATGACGAGTTAATGGGTGCAGCACACCAACATGGCACATGTATACATATTTAACAAACCTGCACGTTGTGCACATGTACCCTAGAACTTAAAGTATAATAATAATAATAAAGAGTAATGTATGGCTTGAAATGGTGTATTTAATGGAACATGAGTTGGGTCTAATAAAAAGCTTAAGAAATATTAATCTAAAATCTCAATGTTAAGATTCCAGTTGAATGATACTAGAAAATATATTGTAACCCTCTTTGCTACCGATGACCTATTTCTATTTTATTTCCTTTTTAATTATGGCATAAATTCTCAACATAACATGTCAAAACTTATACACCGTTAAATATTAAAAAATAATACAATGTAAGCAATATTTTAAATACAATATTTAATGATTAGATACATTAGGTTTATTATATTACTTATAACATTCCATTATATAAAAATTCATTTGTTTATTTATTCAGATTAAACAACTATTAAGGCTGAATGTCTCATGTCTGTAACCCCAGCACTTTGAGAGGCTGAGGCGAGCAGAACATTTGAGCCCAACAATTAAAGAAGAGCCTGGGCAACAAGGCAAAACCCTATCTCTACAAAACTCAGCCCAGCATGGTGACACAGGTCTATGGTGACATAGCTCTATTGTTTCAACTACTTGGATGGCTGAGGTGTGAGGATCACCTGAGCCTAGGAAATGGAGATCAGAGTGAGCCAAGATCTCACCAGTGCCCTCCAGCCTGGGTGACAGAGTGAAACCCCATCTCAAAAAACAACAAGTAAAATGCTTCTTACATGGAAGACTGTATTCTAGGTACTCCAGGATACACACAAATATGTTTACTGACCTCCAGTAGCTTATGGTATGCAGGAGCTTCCAATGATCATTTAAAAAACTAAATAGAAAACCTTCTGACATTCAAACTTTCAGAATATGATATAAGGACTTTGAGTGGTTATTTTATTTTATTTTATTTTTTAAGATGTAGTCTTGCTCTGTCACCCAGCCTACAGTGCAATGGTGCGATCTTGGCTCACTGCAATCTTTGCCTCCTGGGTTCAAGCGATTCTCCTGCCTTAGCCTCCTGAGCAACTGGGATTACAGGCATGCACTATCATGCTTGGATAATTTTTGTGCTTTTTTTTTTTTTTTTAAGAGACAGGGTTTCACCATGCTGGCCAGGCTGATCTTGAACTCCTGACCTCAGGTGAGCTACCCACCTCGGCCTCCAAAAGTGCTGGGATTACAGGTGTGAGCCACCACGCCTGGCCAAGTAAATATTTTAAATAAACTACAATGACAAAATTATGATGATAAAGACTTACCATATTGGTATTAAGAGTCTCTGCTTCTAGAACTGGTTATTTGCAGGAAAATACATGTTATTCAATTAGATGAAGTGTTTTATATAAACTCTTCATGGACAACTCATAAATCACATAAAAATCCCTTTGCAATACAAATCTTGAGAACATAAATTTAAATTTCTACATTTCCACAATTTATATTTTTAAATCAGATACAATGTTACCCAGGCTGTTCTCAAACTCCTGTGTTCAAGCAATCTTACTGTCTCAAACTCCCAAGTAGCAGGGACTACAGGTGTACACCACCAAACTCAGCTATTTTTCTACAACTTTTAATACTTTTTTAGTCTCACTACAGAACCAATAATATAAGTAGAGAAACAATCTCTCCTAAAAACTATATGACACCAAAATGATAAGTTTCCAAGAACAAAAGCTATATGCTATGTGCTGAACATTTCTGCCACTAAAAATTACCAGGAGGATTCCATGATTACTGCAAACAATTTGATCCACTGAAGGTTTATACAGGAATAAATATTAAGAAAGTCACACTCGTATGATTTAAAAGTCAAAGTATTAGTATTTATCCAAATAAACTTTAACCAAAGTTCATATTTCTTCTATTGGAGAAAGCATTTCCTAATGTGATTTTCCTGTGACTACTTATTTTCCAGTTCATTTATTTTTCAGCTCCCACCCTGTCACAGTACTTACCAATCTTTATTAGTTACCAAAGTTAAACACATTTTTTGAATCAACTAGCCATGTGTATGTTTTTCTCTGACCAGCTTTCCATTACCACCATAAAACAATGATAGGTAAACCACTGCTAAATTTGAAAAGTAAATACTATGCAAAACTACACCCAGAGTGAGAAGATTAATTTTACAAGAGACCACTTTACCTTAGTAGCAACACTCAAGTCTTCATCATCCAATGTAGGCAATGAATCCACACACAGTTCATGCAAAATGCTTGAGAGCAAAAATACACAATGAAAATGAGCAAGTTGATTTCTTTACAATTTTTTTAACTGCCAGTTTATATCCAGCTTCCCCCTCAAAAAAAGGAAAACATAATCTGGGGAAAAGTCAGTGATCTATATATTAAATTACGATTCTTGATATAATTAAAATATGTCCTCTGTTCTAAAAAGAGATTTTAGTTACCTATTTCTGCCTCCACCTGTCTAAATCTATAAAATATTCAATGAAAACTAACCTTGAGGTTTATAACAAATAGTGACAGTCAATATATTGGCAGAGCCTGACAATAATGTGCCCTCACAAATTATCTGTCCTGAAGCTGAACTTAAAATTCAATTAATGGATGACATAAATTTTGTTCCCTAAACTGGAATAAAACTGATGACCTAAAACAAGGTAGAAAGATCCACTGTCTCTTTTCCATGATCTGTCTCTGGATAAAAGACTAATCTACATCACTTCAAAATGGTAGTCTTGATTCCTCAGCATGGATCCAACTTAGGAAGGTCCTATTGCTTTCCTTTACCCTAAATTGGTACAGGAAAACCCCCACAATATTTGAAATGTATGAAAGCTAAATGTACAGAAGTCAAATAGCAAAGATGTATGTTCTTATTGAGAATACTTTTCCCAGAAAGATTAAAATATTCACAATTATAAAATCCCATTATTTTCACTCTATAGGTCCTACCTTATTCAGGTCCACATAAACTAGCAATCCCTTAAAAATTTTCATAGGCACTCAGACACCCAAGGAGAGAGACTGCCAGAAAAGAAACAGAGTCATGATAGTTGTACCTCTATTTCCCTAAGTACTATCTAAGTATATTTCTTCCTATGGACACCCACTTCCAGATTCTACTTCTGCAGGGTTCCACAGAAGTCTCCAATCTTTAAATCTTCAGTGTATGAAAGCACAGATTCCTGAAAGAATGGCCTCAAATGACCAGGAGTAGGAGCTCTCTATATCCCTGCTCCTGAAAAACAAGCTAACTGGAGTCTCCATCACCTGCCACCAGCTATACACACTACCAACTACCCAACTGAACTCCATGACTGATTTTCCAGCTAATCATGCCCCTGACCCAGCCCACATGGACATGGGAAGGACATCAGTGAACTGTGAAAAGAGGCAGAGGTGAGGAGACACCTGCCCTGTGCCACACATCTATGTAGTTCAGCAATTTCCATCCCCTTAGTACTCCAGGGGCTCTAAGCCACCCCTTTGTAAGTCAGGATGGAAGTAGATGACACCACATTTCTATCTGCTGTAGACATTCTTCCCAGTGTCTCAAAATGTTTTGGCATCTTTCAGTAAAAATCTTCAAGTTTGTCAGTCCTTGATTTAAAAAAAAAAAAGCAGCAAAATTTTTAGAGCTCCCTTGAACCTTCTATTTTAATGTGCCTTTGTAGATAATTCCCAACATCTTGTGTCCTTCATTTTTATAATTTATCTTTATCAAACTTGTCATAAACCCCAATACTTTGATCTCTTGTAGAAGAGTCCGTACTCCTATCCAATCCAGTGTTGTTTATCTTCAAACTTGGACTTCCCCTGCTCATTCCATTCTTATCTACTTCCATTGGGTTCACCAGCTAATTCCATTCTCATTCTATCCACAGACTCACTCCCGTTTGTATTATTAAAACACACGCTAATAGGACATAGAAAGAAGCAAGAGTACTGGGCTTTACCATGAGTTCAAATCTCATTTCTGCCAATTCCTATGTCTAAAAAAAAGCTTCGTAATCTCTTTGAGCCTCACATTCTCTATCTAGAGAATCACTTGACCAGAATGTTCAACGCAGAGAAAAATACTAGAAGGTATTTTAATTCATTCCAAGATTCCTTAAAATTCTGTAATTCTATGTCCTCTTGATTCTGTCTATAGAAAAACTTGGAATACATAGGCAGCAGAGTTTGAAAAAATAATAGAACAAAAGAAACACCAAGAAAAACAGAGAAGAAAGTTTTAAAAAATGAGGACAAGATTATATAAAAGTCATGGAAAAAGCAACAGGACTAAAAAATGTATTATGGAAGTAAGCAGAAATACTTGCCTAAATGGAAAGCCAAACTGTGAAGTCAAATAATTTGTCTCTAAGACTTGCCTAAACTTGCTTTGGTAAAACTTACAGTCCTATGGCCAAAGCTAAGTCAGATCTGCCCTAGAGCCTTTGAAGGTAAAAATAAGATACTGGTTACACTGAAATCGTCAAATTTATTAGGACTAACCACATTCTAACAATAAACTTAAATGAGAGTTCAAGGTATTTAAACTCTCATTAATTTAGAAGTTAATCAAATTAATGAATCTGATTGATCTGATTCAGACCTATACTATGATCCAAGGGCTGCACAGATATCTATCAATCTATGCTGAGGAGCAAGAGAAAGGATTTGGAAGGCAGGCAGGCTGATGGTCAAACTGTAGGCCAGCTACTTTGTTAACTATGGGATCATGAGGCAATTAATCAGCTCTAATCCATAGTTGTTTATTTAACAGTAGGTTATAGGAACACAGATGTTATGATGGCTTTATGAGATGATAAATGCATAGAACATATTAGGATGTCTAGCCCAGAATACAACACTCAACAGATATTAGTTTCTTCCATCTATATTTTCTTAGTTAACATAATTTTTTAAATCTATGAAATCTTACCTGACTGCAGATTCATCAGAAATTCCAACATCTATTAAAGAAAAAGGTAAAATGCATTTTAAATCAATAATAAATGTACAGAATATTAAAATCATAAGAATGCACAGTGATGCATGCCTCTAATCCAAACTACTTGGGAGGATGAGGCAGGAGGATCACTTGAGGAGCCCAGAAGTTTGAGACCAGCTTGGGAAACATAGTAAGACTCTACCTTCATAAAAAAATTGTGCACACTTGTGTGTATGCTTTAGATCCTGTTTTTTGTTGTTGTTGTTGTTTTGGTTTGGTTTGGTTTTTTAAAGCATAAGACTGACGTTTTGTTACAAAGCATTCCTTTGGGAGCATGCCTGGGAACTTATTAGAATTAACATTCATTATAAGTATTGGTAGGTAATTAATGCAGTAAGAACTCTTCCCTCTGTATTTATTAGATGCAAAGAAGAATAAATTTATTAAAATTTGGTATCTACAAGTGAACTGAAGTATACAAGTCATCCTAGCCAAAGCCTATGAGATTGAGTAAAAATGGTATTGTTAGCAGAACAGGTGTGATGAGTCAACAGTGTCAAAGAGCATGATTTCTGGACCAAAATATGAGGGGCCATTACAACAGAGTATACACTAGTACCCCTTATCCACTATATGCGCAGAAAGACATACTTGACACGTTTTTCTCTGCTGTCACACCACAGCAACAATCATCAACAAAGAAGGCTTCTGTAACCAAATGTGTGGAGAGTTTTTCCCCACCAACAAACAAGCAATCATTCCTGCTGATGACACAATTCAATTCTCACACCCTATCTACAGATAACATCAGATTTAATTTAATTTATAAATTAAACTTTGTCATAGATATGTATGTATAGGGAAAAACAGCTTGTGATTCAGTAATATTCATGGTTTCATGCATGCACTGGGGGTCTTGAAATGTATCTCCCACAGTTAAGGTGTAGTTACTGCACTTATTTTGTTATAACACCACACAGCCTCTCTAGCTCTTCAGATCAAACTGTTTAGTTTAGAATAAAACATGCTATCGCCAGAAACCAACAAAACATAGGAATCAGACCAGAAACAGGAATCCTTGCAAATACTTTCCAGCCACCAGTGGAGAAGATCTCAAGAGAGATCAGTGTGTTACTCTGGCTAATACTCTTCTGGGTAAGGTGCTGGGTGGTTTCCTTAGTTGTAGCTATTTGCTCTGGCCTACGTATAACAAGCCCCAAATTCACCTGCCATTTTACCTCCCACAGAAAGAACCACTGGAAAGATCACTCCTTTAAGAGCTTATCCACATTCAGAGAGAAGCTGAATAAACACTGGGGAGGTATGGCAGGCTGCCGGGCAATATTATCTGATGTGAAAAAATATATAGAAAGGAAACTATCAATGCCCTTTTACTACCAGAATGTTCTAATGTTTGCCCATCTCCCTAGTAGGAGAAAAAAATTTTTTCACCTCGCATAAAGCAAAACTCCCTTGTCATCTCTCATGACAGAATCTAGTTGTAGGTGAGTCATGCCATCATAATACAGGCTGTTGTCAACCTCATCCCTCAAAGGAAGAGGATCAGTGAGGAACTTATGTATTTACCTAATAGCATTCACTGCCTGGTCTTATTTCCAACCGAAGGTAAGTATGAAAGACTTTGTGATTCCAGTTTTATAAAGCACAACACTTTGCACTTGTCCTCTTCCATTGCTAAAGAGTCTATCTGGACCCACCTCACAGAGCAAGATGCTCCAGGTTGTGCTGTGTAGTACGGCGTGGTGTCCTTTTCCTCAACCCTTTCTATTATGTGCCACATATCTATACAAATCATGTTTTCTAAGTATGTAAATCATATCTCATCAGAATACATCATTCTTTACAATGATAAAGAAGCAAAAGAAAAACAAAAGGACAAAGAACATCTTAAATGACTACATTCAACTGCCATGGAGCTTTAATTTTTTAACTACTCAAAAAGATATCCACTCTTCTTATTCCAACTATATGACTCTTCTGAAAAAAGTAAAACTATGAAGACAGAGTAAACATCAATGGTTGTCACGAGTTGCTAGGGAGAAAGGGAGAGATGAACAGGCATAGCACAGAGAATTTTTAGGGCAGTGAAACTGTTCTGTCGATAATATTACAGTAATAGATACATGTCATGTCATTATATATTTGTCCAAATTCACAGAATGTACAGCATCAAGAGTGAGGCCTGATGTAAACTATGAACTTCAAGTGATTATAATGTGTCAATGTAAGTTCATCAGTTGTAACAAATGGACCACTCTCTGGTGGAAAATACTAATAATGGGGGAGGCTATGCGTGTGTGGGAGGCATGGGATATATGAGAAATCTCTGTACCTTCCTCTCAATTTTGCTGTGAACCTAAAACTACTCTAAGAAATAAGGTTATTGATTTAAAAAAAAATATTCAGCTGGGCTCAGTGGCTCATGCCTGTAATCTCAGCACTTTGGGAGGCAAAGGTGGGTGGATCACCTGAGGTCAGGAGTTCAAGACCAGCCTGGCCAACATGGCAAAACCTCATCTCTAATAAAAATACAAAAATTAGCTGGGCATGGTAGCTGGCACCTGTAATTTCAGCTACCCGGGAGGCTGAGGCAGGAGAATCGCTTGAGCCTAGAAAGCAGAGGTTGCAGTTAACCAAGATAGCACCACTGCACTGCAGCCTGGGAGACAGAGTGAGATTCTGTCTCAAAAAACAAAAAAGATATTCACTGTCTATGCATCCCAGGATTTCCAGAACAACAATTAAAATAAATAAATAAAAAAGATGGCTGGGGGCAGTGGCTCAAGTCTGTAATCCCAGCACTTTGAGAGGCTGAGGTGGGTGGATCACCTGAGGTCAGGAGTTCGAGACCAGTCTGACTAACATGGTAAAACCTCATCTCTACTGAATATAAAAAATTAGCCGGGCATGATGGTGCATGCCTGTAGTTCCAGGTACCTGGGAGGCTGAGGCAGGAGAATCATTTGAACCTGGGAGGTGGAGGTTGCAATGATCCAAGATTGTGTCATTGCACTGCAGCCTGGTCAACAAGAGCAAAACTCTGTCTCAAAAAAAAATAAGTAAATAAAATTAAAAATAAAGATATTCACTGAACCTGTTACTATGATATATTTAAGCAAGACATGGCGACCCTAAAAATTAGAGATCATTGAAGACCAAAGTAACAACATGTGGTCATTATTTCTCAAATTGAAGTATATAAAATAAATAAATTTAATTGCATGCTTAGGTAAGAAAATATTGATAAAAATGATTGAATATTTTATCTTATTTCATAATTCTAAGCAGGGCTTTAGCACAATATGAAAACTAGATTATTCATGTAATCCAAATAAAAGACAATTTTTATTCTAATTTTAACTCAGAAATTATTTTGCTTATTTAACAATTTTACTGAAAGGTAAATGAGATAAATAGGACAGATTATAATTACCTAAATTGCTATGGTAACTTATGTACAAATAGCTGTTCGTCACTGAAAGTCAAAAAAGTAACCAGCGCTGCAACTTAAGATGGATCATACAACAGAAATTAGTACCAAGTTACCTTATCTTATAATATTATGTTATTAAAATGAAATTTTAAAACAACACCAAAAATTAAGTTGGGGTTATACAAAGTGTGCAGAAAAGATTTCATATAACAGGCAAGAGACTGCCATCCTTAGAAAGGCCTGCATGCAAGGCTGGCCCTTGGCTGGTGTTTAGGAAATTGGAATTGGGAGGGTTTCCACCATTCCGTGAGAAGAGTGGCTCACTGTGTCTAAAGTTTTTATAGAAACCGCCAATGGGTGAAATCCAAAGCAGCAGCTGGTGTATCCATTAACATTCTCAAAACAGGATGCATCTGGACCCCTGTGTGCAATCTTCATAGCACACAGACACTAAACAGAAAGGCAGTCATTGCTGCCAAACAGGACCCAAATGTCACACACAGTGCAATGAAGCTATAAGCTCCCTATGGAGAGAAAAGTAGACAAATCAAAAATATTCAATATCCAATCCAAGTCCACATTAAATCTTGATTCCAGAAACGTGCATTAACCACTTCAAAGACTAAAATTTAAGCCATCTTTTCTATAGCGATTTCCCATTTGGTTGGCAGGCATACAGGAGTAGAGAATGATTTAATTTACTTACAAGTATTCAGAAAAGATAGTGACCTCTACATTCAACCAGCTACAGCAGCTTAGCACCCAGCCAAAGCCTGCATCTCTCCCACCTTAAGATTTAGTGGTTGGCTAGAGTTAGCAGCATCCAGGCCACATCTATCTCTGCATTCTAAGTTTGCTTCCAAGATAAAGATACAAATGCAGGCTGGCTCCAACCTAGCCAGAGATCCCAGCCCCACTCTCTGCATCCCAAAATCCCTCAAAGACCCAAGAGATTTTCCAGATTTCTACAGTCTCCTAACAGGTCCCCTTGACAGTTAAATGCCCTCTCTTTACCTCAACTAGCTGCAGGTAGAATATAATGGGTACAGCAGAAAGTCACTGTAAGTGTAATATGAAGATACACAGCCCTTTTAAGCATTTCATTATATTACATCTAGCTTACTTCTAAGTGATTTATTCAGATGTGACTGAAGAAAGTCTAAAGGGAAAAAAAAACAATTTAATTTGATAAATTAAATTATCAATTATAGCCAAATTATTTGGGTATAACAAATTAAACATTTTAAGCAGACAGAAGATGCAAACATTTTAAGTTTACAGAAGATATAAAATGTTCACTATCAAAATGTCGCAACTGATAAAAATGTTCTCAAATATTTCTGTCTCAAACTTGCATTGTTCATTAAGGAAGCAAAATAGGTGGGACATACACAGCAACAACATCCCTCAAAAAACACCTTGGCTCATTCCTATAAGCCAGGCAGCAAATACATCATCCTTACATATGTTAATTACCTTCCAATTTCAAATTCTCAACTGTGAAATAAAGGACCATTTTATTTGGCTGCTTCCAGTTCAATATGACTGTTTTTATTAAAACATCTCTAACTTGAAAAATATTTGGTGTTTTCTAAAAAACTGCAAATTGCCACAAATGGCCAGATAATTTGGAATAAACACCCTACAGAAAAAAATATATATTCAAGTTGCATAAGTCACTTTGAGCAATCCTTTGAGGATATTTCATTTATATCTAAATGAACCACAGGTTTAGCTGGCTTTTCTGGAAAACCAGAAGCAAATAATGTATGATTATAATGAAAACCATCTCAAGCAATTTTGAAATGAAGTACCACATGTCTTATGCTGTCCCTTCCATGCACTTGACAAAACAGCCTATAACAAATTGTTTACTTTGAGATTTAGCAGGAAAATTCCATGAGGTTTAAATGAGATTACTAATAATAAGCCATCTACCTTTGACTCTATTCCAATTAAAAATGGGTTAGGAAAGTGCTTTGAAAATCAAGTGTGTTCATCAGGGAATCATTTACCTAAGTCTTCTTAACACTGCTTAGTGAATATTAAGCCTGATATAGTAAATACACGCTAACCACTAAATTGAAGGGGAAAGAGGGAGAACAAAGAGACATGTAAAGTACACTTACTTTTTCTAGTAGGAAAAAGCCAATTAAAACTATCACCTATTAGTTTTATTGGAATCAGTCTTACAGGAGGTCAAACTTCCTACTGTTGCTACCTATTCTCAATATTTTTCTTATTTCTTCCTAAACTTCTAGAGCCGTGCTGTCCAATAAATATGTGAGCCACATATGTAATTTTAAATGTACTAGTAAGCCCCATTAAAAGGTGAAATTAATTTTAAATATACTTAACTCAGTATGTCCCAAATAGTAAACATAGTAATAATTTTAACATGTAATCAATATAAAAAATTATCAAGCAGATATTCTACGCTGTTCTTCCCACTCCAATGACAAAATCCAGTATATTTAACACAACACATCTCAATTAGGACTAGCCAGGATTTCAAGTGCTCAATAGTTACAGGTGGCTAGCGCCTACTGAATTGGACACTGTAGTTTCAGTGCATTGAATTTCTGTCCCACTTAGCGCTAATTAAAACTTCACCCTCTCACCTGATAATTATGCTAAGATCTCAGAAAGTAACCCACTACAGGCAGTTTCAAGCCCTAATTTACCTCTAATTACTCTTACAGCAATGCGATGAATCATGATTTAAAATTTTAAAAAAAAATTGCTGTTAAATTATTAGTCAAGCGCCCAGGGCAATGGACAGTAAAGAAATAATGTAGGCCATGGGCCGAGATGACAAAACGGTCCTTTTATTTAAAGCTATAACAATAATCTGAAGCCAGCCCTGTAAAATAGACATCCATTGAAAAAGTCATGCTAGTTCTTTTGCTTTTTTGTGTACTTGGCCTCCTGTGTCCCTAAACAGACCTCTTCTCAGCAGGGTTTGCTCAGCAAGTCACTTGTTGAGTCTTGCGGTCAGCAGAGGGGGTAGGGAATGGCAGGGACTGGCATAGGAGTGAGGGGGAGGAGGCAAGGTGAGGGGGGCCAGGTGAGGAGGGGGGCACTTCAAGGGGAGTTCAAGACCAGCCTGGGCAACATGGTGAGACCACCGCCCCTCACCGCCGCCATCTCTGGTCTCACTCTGGTCTCACACACATGCACAAATTAAATTTAATTTAAAAATTAAAAAATTGTTTTAAAATAAGTGGAATATTTACATGGATTATGTATACATTCATTTTGTAGAACTATAGATCCCATGTAACTGGGAACTCTTTACTCTTCTAACACAACATTTATTTAGCCACAAATGAAAGACCAGTGATGTAGCCTGTACACAAAAAAGTAAGAAAACACTGGTTAGGCTGGGGCAGGGGTGGGGGGAAGAGATCTACAAATTTAAAATTTTATTGGGAAGGATCACTAATTAGAATCAGAACAATTACTGCTTTAAAGTAGTTAAGAACAGAGCACAAGGAACCCAGAGAAGAAGCAGATATGATTCAGAGCAGAGCTTACAGAGCAGATGGTATCTGAGCCGAGACTGATAGAATAACATTAATAAGGGCATTCACGGCCATTTATTATCACTTAACTGCAATGCATTTTGTATAAGTTATTTCTACTCTTCATATCAACCATGGAAAATAATACTTATTCTTCTCTTTTGAAGTTAAAGAAGTGGTAAGTGGTCTAAGAAGATAAATTAACATACCAACACCAAATAGCTCAAGTTCAGTGACTCAAGAGGGCCCGCGTCTCCCCAAGAGGTTGCTCAGCAGGCAGACGAGGTAGAGAGCCCTTCCAAGAAGTGACAGTGAGATGTGAAAGGTCCCAGTGTGTCTCTGAGAACAACAGAAACCAGTATGTAGACCAAGTGGGAAAAGCCACGGAAGAGGCAGGGATTTCCTCTTAAGATAGCAAGAATAAACAGAGCAGGGCTGAGGAAAGCCATGGAAAACGGGCAGAATGCCATGAATTTAGTGAGAAAAAGACAATTTTTACTTTAGAAAGGGGGAAAGAATGGTGGTGGTCTAGGTAAGCCTAGAAGCAGAGGAAAGGGCAATGGAGAAAAAATAAACAAAATGTATGAGTCAGGGTTCTCCAGAGGGACAGAACCAACAAGATACAGGTATATGTATAAGGGAGTTTACGAGAGAGAATTGGTTCACACGGTTAGAAGGCAGTCCCACAATAGGCTGTCTGCCAGGTAGGGAAAGAGAGAAGCTAGTAGTGGCTCAGTCCAAGTCCAAAAGCCTCAAAACCAGGAAAGCCCGCAGTGCAGTCTTCAGTATGAGGCCGAGGGCCTGAGAGCCTCGGGGAAGCCGCTGGTGCAAGTCCCAGAGTCCAAAGGCATAAGAACCTGGAGTCTCATGTCCGAGGGCAGGAAGAAGGGAAGCAAGTGTCCTGCACGGGAAGAAGAAAAAAAGAGAGCCAGAAGCTTCAGCTAGCAAGGTTATCCCATCTTCCTCCGCCTGCTTTATTCTATACAGTGCAGCGTATGTACACCACTTCTGTGATATTGTTCCTAATATCCATGGGAAGAAAGAGTGATGTTACTCCCAAGAGCATATGGGGGTGTACATCCCTTGTGATATTATTCCTAGTATGCAGGGGCAGGGAAATGACATTACTCCCAATATTGCAGAGGGTGTACTCCCCGCCCTGTGATATTGTTCCTAATATTTAGGGGATAGTGGGTGATATTACTCCCAATATCAGAGGGGGTGTGCACCCCCCGTGGTATTCTTCCTAATATCCAGGGTGGGGGGAGAGGTTTATATTACTGTCAATGTCACAGGGGGTGTACATCCTCCCGTGGTATTGTTCCTAATATCTGGGGGGTAGAGGATATTACTGTCACTATCACAGGGGGTGTAGACCCCTTCAGTGATATTGTTACTAATATCTGGCGGGGAGAGGATGATATTACTGTCAATATCGCAGGGGGTGTACACCCCCCGTGGTATTGTTCCTAATATCCGGGGGGGAAGAGGAAATTACTGTCAATATCACAGTGGGTGTACACCTCTTCTGTGATATTGTTCCTAATATCCGGGGAGGAGAGGATATTACTGTCAATATCGCAGGGAGTGTACAACCCTTCTGTGACATTGCTCCTAATATCCGGGGGTGGGAGAGGATATTACTGTCAATATCGCAGGGGGTGTACACCCCTTCTGTGATATTGTTCCCAATATTCAGGTGGGGAGAGGATCATATCACTTTCAATATCACCAAGTGTGTACATCACCATTGTGATATTGTTCCTATATTTAGGGGATAGTGGATTATATTACTGTCAATATCACAGGGGGTGTGCACCCCCCCATGGTATTGTTCCTAATGTCCAGCAAGGGAGAAAACACTACTACTTCCAATATGGCAGGGGGTGTACACGTCCTATGGGATACTGTTCCTATATCCATGGGGGAAAAGGATATTGGGAACAATATTACAAACAATATCACAGGGGGTGTACATGTCCTGAGATATGAGGAGTAATATAACCCTCTCCCCCTCTAGATATTACAAACTGTATCACAGAGGGGTGTAAACCCCTGCAATGTGGAAAGTAAAATCATCTTCTCCCCCACTGGATATTACAAATAATATCACAGACGGTGTACATGTGAGGTGTTTATGATATTGGGAGTAATATCATATCCCCCAGTGGATATTATGAACAATATCACAGAGGGGTGTATACACACTCTGCCTTATAGGGAGTAATATACTCCTCTCCCACCCTGGATATTACAAACAATATCACAGAGGGTGTACACACAGGGTGTTTATGGTATTGGAAGTAGTATTATCTCCCCCATGGATATTACTAATAATATCACAGGGGTGTGTACATCCCCTGTGATACAGGGAGTAATATCATCCTTTCCCAGCCTGGATATTACAAACAATATGGCAGGGGGCAGTACACCCTGGCGATATGGGTAGTAACATCATCTCCTCCCCGCGTGGATATTATGAACAATATTCTAGGGGGTTGTACACCCCCTGCAATATGGGGAGTAGCATCATCCTCTCCCCCACTAGATATTATAAACAATATCACAAGGGGGTGTACACTTCCTGCGATAAAAGGAGAAATATAATTCTTTCCCCCAGAGATATTATGAACAATATCGCAGGGAATTGTTCTCCCATGCTATATGGGGAGTAACATCTTCATCTTCCCCCTGGATATTACGAAAAATAATGCAGGGGAATGTAAATCCCCTGCGATATGGGGAGTAAAATCATTCTCTCTGGCCAGGAGCGGTGGCTCACACCTGTAATCCCAGCACTTTGGGAAGCCGAGGCGGGCGGATCACGAGGTCAGGAGATCGAGACCATCCTGGCTAACATGGTGAAACCCCGTCTCTACTAAAAATACAAAAAATTAGCCGGGCGTGGTGGCGGGCGCCTGTAGTCCCAGCTACTAGGGAGGCTGAGGCAGGAGAATGGTGTGAACCTGGGAGGCGGTGCTTGCAGTGTGCCAAGATCAGGCCACTGCACTCCAACCCGGGCGACAGAGCAAGGCTCTGTCTCAAAAAAAAAAATCAAATCATTCTCTCCCTCCCTGGATATTATGGACAATATCACAGGGGAGTGTACAATGAGTTTCTAGAATGTATTTGAGGAGGGTGACGGGCGGTGTGTGCATGCTTCATGGCCTTATTCAATTAAACACTCTGCTCTCAATTTATTGCTAAATCCTCCTTGAGCCCTTAGATTTCATAACGGTTGTCGCGACATTTTTCTGGATGTAGAAAACGTTCCTATTTCTTGCCACCTCATGGGCTACACCTTGAACTAAAGTTTTTATGTAGATACTTGTGCTTACTCTGCGGCCTTTCCAGGGTTTGCTGAAGATGGAGGTATTTAGGCTGGGCAAGAGGTGGTGAGGTAAATTGGGGTTTATCGATTATAGAACAGCCTCCTTTAGAGGGATATAAAGCACCGCCAAGTCCTTTGAGTTTTAAGCTGTTGCTTGTAGTGTTCTGGCGAACAGTTTTGTTGATCTAACTATTCGAGTTTAGAGTTAAGCATAGCGGGGTATCTACTCCCAGTTTGGATCTTAGCTATTTTGTCTTCAGAATATTAAAGGCACCTTCGTAGTTATTTCAGCTGGGGTTTTTTTACAACTTTTTTACAACTTATTTAGAAACTTTCAGGTTTCTAAATATATGAATGAACCATAATATAAGCCTCGGCCAATACAATGCTGGTTAGGCCTCCTACTGTAAAAAGGAAAATAAATCCCCGGGCTCACAGCATTGCGGGGGATCATTTGATATTACCGCCGTGAAGTGTAGCTAGCTAGTCAGCTAAAAACTTTGACGCTAGTAGGAATAGCAATAATTATAATAGCAGAGGTGAAGCAGGCTCATGTATCCACAACTATCCCTACCGTAAATATACGGTGGGCCCATACAATAAACCGTAAGGACCCAACTGATCCTATAGCTCACACTAGGCCCATATACCTGAATGGTTCTTTTTTCTTCCAGAATAGTATGTTACGACGTGGGAAATTATCCCAAAGCCCAGTGGGATGAGGATGTAGACTTCAGGGTGACCAAAGAATCTGAATAAATGCTGAAATAAGATAGGATCACCTCCGCCAGCCAGATAGAAAAAAGTAGTATTAAGATTGCAGTCAGTTAACAATATAGTGATGCCGGCGGCTAGGACTCGGAGACAAAGGAGTAGAAGAACTGCTGTAATTAGGACTAATCAGATGAAGAGGGGTGTGTGATATTGGGACATGGCTGGGGGTTTTATATTAACAATTGTGGTAATAAAGTTAATAGCCCCTGAAGTAGAAGAAACACCTGTCAAGTGGAGTGAAAAGATAGTGAAATCTACAGAGGCGCCTGCATGTGTTAGGTTTACTGCTAAGGGAGGAGAGACTGTTCAGCCGGTTCCAGTGCCGGCTTCTACTATAGTGGATGCAAGTAATAAAAGGAAGGAGGGTGGGAGGAGTCAGAAGCTCATATTATTTATGCAGAGAAATGCTATATCGGGGGCGCCAATTATCGGGGGACTAATCAGTTGCCAAGACCTCCAATTATAGTATTACCATAAAGAAAATTATGACAAATGCATAGGCTATAACAATGACATAAATTTGATCATCTAGTAGAGTTCAGCTCGAATTTAAAGCTGTACTGACTATCCCTGCTCATGTGCCAAATAATAAATATAATGTCTCGATATCTTTATGGTTGGTTGAGAATAGTCAACTGTCAGCCAACATAAATGAAGTGAGAAAAAAGGGTAAAATGACTGAGTAGGGCATTAGACTGTACATCTAAAAACAGAGGTCAACGCCTGTTTTTACCAGTCCCAAGGTGATTTTCATGTTGAATTGTAAATTCAAAGAAGCAGCTTCAATCCTGCTTCTCTCACCTTTTTTCCCCCAGCTGCTGGAGAAGTAGATTCAAACCAGTTGACTAGGGAGTTTAGCTGTTAAGTTTTCATGGGTTTCAGTCTCATCAATTTAGTAAGGACTTAGCTTACTTAAAGTGATTGATCTGTATTCAATTGACCAAGGGTGTTCTGTATCTGAGAAAGTACATTTCAGGGTCACCATACAACAACTGTTCAAAAAGGCCTCCAATATGGGACAGTCCTATTTATTATCTCAGAAATATTCCTCTTCGCTGGATTCTTTTGAGCATTCTACCATTCTAGCCTAGCCCCTACTCCAGAATTAGGAGGGCATTGACCCCCAACAGGTATTTCTCCCCTTGACCCCCTGGAAGTACCTCTCCTGAATCCATCTGTATTACTTGCATCAGGAATTTCAATTACTTGAGCCCATCACAGCCTAACAAAAAATAATCAAAAACATACAATCCAAGCACTACTTGTTACAATTATATTAGATATTTACTTCACCTTCCTACAAGTCTCAGAATACTTCAAAGCTCCCTTTGTTATTTCTGATGGTATTTATGGCTCAACATTTTTTTATAGCTACAGGCTTTCACAGAATTCACATCATTATTGGATCAACATTCCTCAGTCTGCCTTCTCCGCCAATTAAAATACCACTTTACATCTAGTCATCATTTTGCCTTTGAAGCCGCTGCCTGATATCGACACTTTGTAGATATAGTATGACTATTCTTGTATGTTTCTATTTATTGATGAGGATCTTACTCTTTTAGTATAAATAGTACCATGATTTCCAAAGTTTTGATAGCATCCGAAAAACAGTAATTCACCTAACATTAACCCTAGTAATCAACACCCTATTAGCCCTGTTACTAATAATTATTACATTTTGGCTCCCACAACTTAATATATATATGTAGAGAAGAGAGAAAAAAATATATATATGTATAAAATAAATATATATAGAAAAATCTAGCCCTTATGAATGCAGATTTGACCCTCTATCCTCTGCCCACATTCCCTTCTCCATAAAATTCTTTCTAGTAGACATCACATTTCCCCTATTTGAGTTAGAACTCGCCCTACTACTACCCTTACTGTGAGCCCTTCAAACAATCTGATACTAATAATCCCTGCGATATGTGTAGTGACTTCATACTTCACCCCCCCCCGGATATTACGGCCAATATCAGAGTGGAGTGTGCACCCCCTGCAATATGGGGAGTGATATCATCCTCTCCCCACTGGATGTTATGGACAATATCACAGGAGGTTTACTTTCTCTGGGTTATGGGGAAAAATATCCTCCTGTCCCCGCCTGGATGTTAGACATATTTAGAGGGGGGTGTCCACCCCCTGTGATATGGGGAGTAGTAATATCCTCTCCTGCCCTGGATGTTATGGACAATATATAGGGAGATGTACAATCCCTTCGATATGGGGAGTAATATCATCCTCTTCCCCCTAAACGTTACGAACAGTATCACAGGGGGATGTACACCCCCTGCAATATCTGGAGTAGTATCATCCCCTTCTTCCCTAAATGTTACAGAGACTATCACAGGGGTGTGTACACCTTCTGAAACATGGGAATAATATTCTCTTCCCCTCTGGATGTTATTATGGACAACATTACAGCCGTGTGCACCCTCTATGATATGCAGAGTAATATCATCCTCTCCCCCCCGGATGTAAGTGACAATACCACAAACGGGTTTACATCCCCCGTGATATGGGGAGTAATATCATCCTCTTTCCCACTGGATATTAACAATATCACTTGGGGTGTGCAACCCCTGTGATATTCTGGATAATATCTTCTAATCCACTGAAAGTTATAAACAATATCACCAGTGTACACTCCCTGTGATATTGGAAGTAATATCATCCTCTAATCCCCTAAAAATTATGAACAGTATCACAGGGGAGTGTATACTTCCTACTATATTGGGAGTAATATCATCCTGTCGTCTTCTAAATATTATGAACAATATTACAGGGGATGTAACACTCCCTGCCATATGTGGAGTAATATCATCCTCTCCTTCCCTAAATATTGTGAACAATATCACAGGAGGTTGTACACAATCTGCGATATTGTTTGTAGTATCCAGTGGGAAAGAGGATGCTATTACTCCCCATATCACAGGGGTTGTACACCCCCACTGTGATATATTCAATAACATCCAGAAGTAATATTACTGACAAAATTGCAGGGGGTGTAAACCCCACCTGTGATAACGTTCCTAATATCCCTGGGAAGAGAGGATGATATTATTCCCAATATTGCAGGGGGTGTACACCCACCCTATGATATTGTTATTAATACCCAGGAGGGGAGACAATGGTATTACTCACAGTATCAAAGAGGTTGTACAGCCCCCCTGTGATAGTTTCTAATATCCAGGGGGTGTATACCACCCTTGTGATATTGTTTCTAATATGTAGGGGGAAGGACAATGATATTACTGTCCGTATCACAGGGGGTGTACAACAAGCCGCCCGGGATATCATTCCTAATATCCATGGGAAGAAAGAATATTATAATATCACAGAAGTTGTACACCCCCTCTGTGATATTGTTCCTAATATCAAAGACAGAAGGGTATGATGTTCTTCCCAAAATCACAGGAAGTGTATACACACCCTGTGCTATTTTTCCTAATATCGAGAGTGAGAGACAATGATACTTCCAATATCGTAAGGAGTGTACACTCTCCCCATGATAGCAGGTGGGGAAATGTTGATATTACTCCAAATGTCACAGTGGGTGTACACACGTTTTGCGATATTGTTCCTAATAGCAAGTGGGGAGGAGGATTGTATTACTCCCACCATATTACTCCCCACACCCCATTATACTGTTCTTAATATCCAGATTTGGAGAGGATGATATTACTCCCAAAATCTCAGGAGGTGTAGACCCCTTCTGTGATACTGTTTCTTATATCCAGGGGAAGACTAGATGATAGTACTCCCAACAGTGCAGGGTGTTACACGCCACCCCCCATGATATTGTCTCTAATATCAAGTTGGGGAGAGGATGATATTGCTCCAAAGGTGCACACCAGCACTGTGATATTATTCCTAGTATCCAGAGAAGGAGAGAATGGTATTATTTTTAATATCACAGAGGGTGCACACCCCCCTTGTGATACTGCTCCTAACATCCAAGGGGTAGAGGATGAAATTACTCCCAATATCACAGTGGGTATAAACCCCCCGTGGTATTGTTCCTAATATCCAGGGGGTATAGGATGATAGTACTATAAATATCGCAAGGGGTGTACACCCTTCTGATATTGTTACTAATATCCGTGGGGGGAGTCGATGATATTACTTCCAATATCACAGGGCATGTACACCCCCCTTGTGATATTGTTCCTAATATCCTGGGAGGAGACTACGATATTACTGGCAATATCGCAGGGTGTGTGCATTCCCGTGATATTGTTCCTAATGTCCAGCAATGGAGAAAATATTACTCCCAATATGGTGGGGGTGTACACTTCCCATGCGATATCATTCCTAATATCCATGGGGGAAAAGGATGATATTACTCTAAATGTCGCAGGAGGTGTAAACCGCCCCTGTGATATTGTTCTCAATATCCATGGGGGGAGAGAATGATATTACTCCCAATATCACAGGTGGTGTACACCCCTCCTGTTATATTATTCCTAATATCCAGGTTGGGAGAGAATAATATTACAGGTAAAATAGCAGGGGGTGTACACTCCGCCTGTGATATTGTTCCTAATATCTCGGGGAAGAGTGGACAATATTACTCTCAATATCGCAGGATGTGTACACCCCCTTTGTGATATTGTTCCTAATATCCATAGGGGGAGAGGGTGATACCACTCCCAATAGTGCAGAAAAGGTACAGCCCCGCTGTGATATCATTCCTAATATCCAGAGGGGACAGGATGATATTACTCCCAATATCAGAGAGGGCATACACCCCCTCCCCATGATATTGTTCATAATACCCAGGGGGTAGAGGATGATATTACTCCCAATATCACAGTGGGTGTACAACCACCCTGTGATATTGTTCCTTATATTCGGGGGAGAGACAATGATATAGCTGTCCATATTGCAGGTGGTGTACAACCCCCTGGGAATTTGTTCCTAATATTCAGTGGGGAAGATGATATTAATTAAAATGTCACGGGGGTTATACAACCCCTTTGTGATATTATTCCTAATATCCAGGGAAAGAAAGAATATTATTCCCAATATTGCAGGGGATGTACACCCCTCTCTGATACTCTTTCTAATATCCCTGGGGGGAGTCTATAATATTACTGGCAATATCATAAGGAGTGTATACCCCCCGTTATATTGTTCCTTATGTCCAGCAAGGGAGAAAATATTAATCCCAATATGGAACAGGGTGTAGACACCCATGAGTTATTGTTCCTAATATCCAGGGAGGGAAAGGATGATATTACTCCCAATGTTGCAGTGGTGTATAACCCCCCGTGATATTGTTCCTAATATCTAGGTGGGGAAAGTACAGTATTACTCCCAATATAGCAGGGGTTGTACACCACCTTTGTGATATTGTTCTACATATCCATGGGGAAAGAAAATGATAGTACTCCCCAATATCACAGGTGGTGTACAACCCCTTGTGATACTGTTTCTAATATCCATGTTGGGGGAGGATATTACTCCCAATATTGCACGTGTTGCACAGACCCCCTTTGATATTGCTTGTACTATGCAGGGTGTGGGGGGAGAGGATGATATTGGGAGTAATATCACCCTCTCTCCCCGGATATTAAAAGCAACATTCAGGGTGGTCGACACTTCCTGCAATATTGAGTATAATATCCTCTCCCAACCTGGATATTAGGAACAATATCACAGGGGCATGTACACTCCCTTCCTTTCACCATATACAAAAATCAACTCAAGATGGATGAAGGACTTATGTAAGACCCAAAACTATATAAACCCTAGAAGAAAACTTAGGAAATATCATTCTGGACATAGGCGCAGGCAAATATTTCATGATGAAGATTCCAAAAGCAATTGCAACAAGAAGAATTGACGAGTGGGACCTAATGAAACTAAAGAGCTTCAGCACAGCAAAAGAAACTATCAACAGAGAACACCCTACAGAACAGAAGAAAATATTTTCAAATTACATATCTGAAAAAGGTCTAATACTTAGCATGTATAAAGAATCAATAAGCAAAAAACAAACCCACTACAAATAGGCAAAGAACATGAACCCCCACATTCACCATCCTCAAGTCCATGTGCAACTTCTTTCTGGATGCTGGACAAGGACTTGGGTACCAAGAGGGCACTGAACGGGTTAACACTTAAGCCGTCTGTGGATTCTTTTTTCAAAAGACAACGTATGTATGGCAAACAACCATATGAAAAAATACTCAACATCACTAATCATCAGAAAATCAGAACCATGAGATACCATATCACACCGGTCAGAATGGCTATTATTAAAAAATCAAAACATAACAGACGGTGCCAAGTTTGTGGAAAAAAGGGAATGCTTATACACTGCTGGTGGTGATATAGAAAGGAGACAGGGAACTACTGGGTAGAAGAGAGTGGTTCCCTGGCAAAGCCCTGCCCACAAGCCTGGAAACCCATGGCCCTAAATGGGAACAGGCATTCCTGCTTTTGCACCCAAAAGTTGTCTTTCAGCTCACCATGCACCCCCTGTCCTGTACCCATATATGCCCCAGACCCCAGGCTCCAGAAGCAGACAAGCAGATGAGGAGATGAACAGAAGAGGAGAATTGCAGAATGATGTGGCAGAAAGAAGAGAAGGAGCATCTGAATGCCAAGACGAGTTTGGCTGGCAGTGGTTGGAGAGATCAGCCTCTGGATGGCAAAGCTCCCGGGGAAGATCATCTTCCCATTCCATCCCCTTTCCAGCTTCCCATCCATCCCATTGAGTGCCACCTCCACCACTCAATAAAACCCCCACATTCACCATCCTCAAGTCTGTGTGCAACTTAATTCTTTCTGGATGCTGGACAAGGAACTGGGTACCAAGAGGGCACTGAACAGGTTAACACTTAAGCCATCTGTGGATGGCAAAGCTAAAAGAGTGCACTGTAACACATGCCCACTTGGGCTGTGGGAGTCGCAGGAACCCACCCCTAGACAGTACCATGGCCACTTGCCCTGCCTATTGCACCTGCCTGTCTGCATGCCTCCCTGCCCAGTAAGGGGTTTGACAGCACACACGGTGGCCAGACAAGCCACACCCCTGTTGCACATCCTGCCAAGGGGAGTCAGGGAAGTCTCCAGTTTCATCAGGAATGTAAATTTGTTCAGCCATTGTGGAAAGCAGTTTGGAGATTTCTGAAATAACTTAAAACAGAACTACCATTCAACCCAGCAATCCCATTATTGGGTATATACCCAAAGGAATATAAATCATTCTGTCATAGACATATGTACGCAAATTTTCATTATAACACTATTCACAATAGCAAAGACACGGAATCAACTTAGATGCCTGTTAACAGAAGACTGGATTAAAAAAATGCAGCGTACATACACCATGGAATACTACACACCTATAAAATAGGATGAAATAATGTCTTTTGCAGCAACATGATTGGAGCTGGATACCATTATTCTAAGTGAATTAATGCAGGAACAGAAAACCACACAAACACTGCATGTTCTCACTTATAAGTGGGGGCTAAACATTGAGTCCACATGGACACAGAGAAGGGAACAATAGACACAAGGTCTACTGTGGGTGGAGAGTTGGGGGAGAGTGAGGATCAAAAAACTCCCTATTAGATACTACGTTCACTACCTGGATGACTACGTAATCTGTACACCAATCCCATTGACACACATTTTACCCATATAATAAACCTGCACATGTACCCGCTGAACCTAAAATAAATGTTGGAAGGAAATAAAGTTACAACCAACTCTTGTACTATTGTGAGGAAACAATCATATGTGTTGACAAAAAATCAGCTACTAATAGATTTATAATAGTATATATGTAGCAGAAAAATATCAGATATAACTTATATACCCAAAAGTATGATTTAAAAACAGCATGACAATCTTTATGATGGGATATTGTGCAACTACTAGAAGCACATTTTCAGAGATTATTTATTAACATATGATAATGACTACATTGAGTGGTTTTTAGAAGCATGAATTGAAACCATGTATAAGCATGACTTTATTGAACTTATATATAACATTACACACACGTTTACATAATTATAAAATAAGTATGCTCATGTTCATAATATGTATTTATTTATATTCATATGTAAGGCCAATAGGAAGTAATCTCTGTATCTGAGTTATTATTTCATAAATAATTTATGCTTGTTCTGTGAAAATAAAAACACTGCTATGGATCTTCCAAGTATCCTGAAAGGATACCGTTTATAATTAAACAATAACAATTTTAGAAATAATTATTTTAAATAAGGCTATGATAAATCTGGTTTCATTGCACACTTTAACTTTGGAACATTTCATGAAGCGTCCCTTGATCACGACTCTCATATTCAGGAGTTTTTTGAGATCAAAATGGGACAATCAGTATGAATCTATTTTTTAGACATGCAAATGGATAACTTTAAATAGCAGTAGCGATATAATCAGAGTGCACAGTTGCTCTGGGACAAAACTTGGAAATGAGCAAATTTTTAGATTCTTAATGTTTTACACACTTTAGCATTCCACAGCACCATTACATACTCATTTTTCTACTAGAATACCTTGGTAAAAATTCACAGTAGAGATCAGGCTTGTCCTTCATACATTAACTAATCAAGTAGGAAAGTGCAAATGAGAACATAGTGCCAAACATAGGCACCACATGGAAACAAGCATGGAACTGCCAGGAAGCCATTTTTGTAGCTTTGTAGCCCAATTATATTTTTCCTAATGTATTGCACACAAAACTTGGGGGAAAAAAAAGAGGCAGAGAGAAAACAGGTTATATCAGTCCTATCTCACAATCCACAAGTTCATCCTGTTAGAGGAGTAACTATGTAAAACAAATTTTATCTGTTGAATGTCCTATTTAGTTAATCGCAAAACTGTACGAGAACACACTTGTGACTTATTTAGCAGCTTGTTTGTTCGCTTTCCACTGGCTTCACAAATGTCCTTTGGAAATAGAATGTACATTTGGAACCTTGTACACCTTTTCTTTCTCCAGTACCCTCTTGTCACTTCCATCACTAAGGTGACAGAAGCAACTAGGGGCAATGCATTTGTAGCACACCTGGGTCAGAGGTATCCTCCAGGGGAAGGATCAGACCTGCTTGAAAGCATGTCGTTGGAATTGGGAGGCTTTTAGTAGCTATAACATAAGCACTGATGTTTACTGTTCCCTGCCCTCCACTTTGATCACTCTGGGAAACGTTTTTTTTTCTTAAAAAATCAATTGTATTGAAACATAATTTACATAAAATAAATACTATTTTAAAGTGCACAGTTTGCTGAGTTTTGCCAGGTGTAACCATCCAGGTGAATGAAATTGATTAAACTGATCTTTCAAATAATAAATTAACTTTGCAATCTTGCTAGAAATTTAATTGGTTCACAGTTTATTATCCATTCTATGTACTGCTACATTCAATTGGTTATTATGTTTTAAGGACTTTTGAGTCTATGTTTATGAGGGATAAACATCAAAGTTGTATAATGCCTTTGTCTCGATTTGGAATCGGCAATACTGGGTTCATAAAATAAGATAGGAAATGTCCCTTTAAATTTTCTTTTTTTTTTTTTTTTTTTTGAGACGGAGATTCACTCTTGTTGCCCAGGCTGGAGTGCAATGGCACAATTTCGGCTCTCCACAATCTCTGCCTCCCAGATTCAAGCTATTCTCCTGCCTCTGTCTCCCAAGGAGCTGGGATTACAGGTAAGCGCCACCATGCCCTGCTAATTATGTACTTTTAGTAGAGACGGGGGTTTCTCCATGCTGGTCAGGTTGGTCTCAAACTCCTGACCCCAGGTGATCTGCCCGTCTTGGCCTCTCAAAGTGCTGGGATTACAGGTGTGAGCCACTGTGTCCGGCCCTTAAATTCTATTTCTTAAAAAGAGTCCGTTCAAGATTGATGTTATAGATACTCCTCAACTTACAATTGTTTTATGTCTTAATGAACTCATCCTAAATTGAAAATATTGTAAGTCTAAAACGCATTTAATATATTTAACCTACTGAATATCATGACTTAGCCTCGCCTACCTTAAACTTGCTCAGAACACTTACATTATCCTACAATTGGGCAAAATCATCTACCACAAGGCCCATTTTAAAATATTGAGTATCTCATGAAATTTATTGAAAACTATACTGATAGTGAAAAACTGGTCATATTGATGCTCATCATTAACGTACACAGATGAAAGCACCATTATCAAGTAAGAAGAGCACAAGTCAAGCCACTGTAAGTTGAGGACTCTCTGTACTTTCTTAAATGTTTGATAGAATTCACCTGAGAAAGCATGTAGCCTGTAATTATAGAAATCTTTTTTAATTAAAAAAATTCTTCAATACATAGAGAAGCTATTACTTTTTCTATTTCATTTTGCATTAGTTTTAAGAATTAGTTTTACAAATAATTTCCCATGTTATTTTAATTGTCAAATGTATTGGCCTAAAGTTTTCATAATTATATTGATGTCTGTAGGTTCTGTAGTTACATCCTCTATTTAATTCCCATTATCTACATTATGTAGCTTCTGTAATTTTTTTCGAGATAAATCTTGCTAGCCATTGTTTATTAAAAAATTTTTTTCAAAGAACCAATTTGTGGGTATATTAATTAGCTCCACCTTTTGTTATTTGCTATGTTGTTGGTTTACATTTTTATCTTTATCATCTTCCTTCCTCTTAATTTGGATATACTTTGCTCATTTTTTAGCCTCTTAAAAAAGAACCTAAAGGTCATTGATTGAAGCCTTTTATTTTCAATATATTACATCTATAAATGTACCTTTAAGAAACGATTTATCTGCATCCCACATTTTATTAAGTTTTTAAAAAATTTTCTTTCAGTTTAAACTATTTTTTTTGTGTGTGAAACTTTTCTTGGCCAATAGGCTTTTCTGAAGTATTTTGTGTAATGTTCAAATGTTGGGGTGTTATTGTACATATCCTACTGTTGTCCATCTCTGGTTCATGATACAATGCATGTTCTCCATTGCACTTAGATAACATGCCTCCATGTCTCTGGAGAATTCCTCAGTCTTTCTAAAATGCTTTTGATGAATACTGGCAGTTATTTTGTAGAATGTCCCTCCTCAATTTCAGTTAGTCTGATGTTTTCTCACGGTTAGGACTAAAGTTATACATTTTGTCTAAGAATACCATAGAATTGATGTTTTGTCCTACTCAGTGCATCATATAAGAAGTTACATGAAGTTCATTTATCTTATTATTAGTAATGTTAACTTTGATCACTTGGCTAAGTTGACATCTCCACTTTGAAGTTACTATTCTGTAATTATCTTGTGGGAAGATACTTTCATATTATGCAAATATGTTCTTTCCCAACATATACTCACCACTAATCTTAGCATCCCTCCAAGGTTCTTTCTTGCAACAATTATTACTATGATATTTGCAAAGTGATGATTCTTATATTTTATGTCTCCTACATTTAATGAAATCTTACTGTAATAAAATACTACCCATTCTCAATCTTTGGTTTATTATTTATGTCAATATGGATTTTTTTTGAGTTGGAGTCTTGTTTTGTCATCCAGGCTGGTGTGCAATGGTGCGACTTCCGCTCACTACACTTCCACCTTCTGGGATTCAAGCCATTCTCCTGCCTCAGCCTCCGGAGTAGCTGGGACTACAGGCATGTGCCACCATGCCCGGCTAATTTTTGTATTTTTAGTAGAGGCAGGGATTCACCACATTGGTCAGGCTGGTCTCGAACTCCTGGCCTCAAGTGATCTGCCCGCCTCTGCCTCCCAAAGTGCTGGGAATACAGGCATGAGCAACCGCACCCGGCCTGGATTAATTGAAAATTTTCTTCTGTAGATTGTAATATATTACTATTGTTATCTATTTTATTGCCCCAATTTTCTCAAATTTGGCTATGGAAGTTTATTCAAAGTGGATCTGTTTCCCTTTCACATTTTCCCCATTTTGTGAGCATTTCCTTACTTCCTAACATGACAAAATATTTCAAACTAATCTTGTATTTTCCCTGCCCAATCCTGATATCAAATATGTCCCCAAGGAGCCTTGGTTCCTTTAATTGGAGAGTGGTGTTCTCATTGTTACTGGGATGATGTTGTTTCTAGGCCCTTTTGTTAGAGGAGCTAGAAAATATATGTATGTATACTCACACATTTATACACATCTGTACTTATTTATACAATTATCCATCTGTACGTATACTAAAAACAATGATTTCATGAAGCTTTTGATCCCAATCCAACACTAGATAAAGACTATATAGGCCCATTTATTTGCAAGTCAGCACATAAACATAGAAGAATTATTAACAATATAAGCTGTAGCTTATGCTAAATGTTGGTAGGAACAGACAATAAGTTATGGAGAACTTCAGAGGACACTAAGGTTGGATGGGATTTTGGAAGTTGTACAGGTCAATGCCACTCCATCTATTGGCTGAGTTTCACTAGGTTAATACATGAACAACAACAAAAATAACCTAGATCAGAAGTTAAAGATCATTTTATTGACTATCTGCCGTGTCTGTGCCATTGCAGTGTACTAGGTGCACTTACGAGTCCTCTACTTACAAACTGCTTTTCACAAAATATGAAACTCCAGGCAAAGGTTCAGACATACGACGTTTGTTTTTAAAATCTTTCTACAGCCTTGTATCCTTTTTCCTTTCCTTCCTTTTACCCTTTTTAAAATGTGTTATGAGTTTTATCTTAGACTAACATCATCTGAAATGTTGCTATACGCCAGTATTCAGTTGCTGTGTTTGATGAATCATAAAATGGTGTAAAACTTCAATTAGTGTACTTTTTAAATAAAGTATCTATGAATGCATCCAGCAAAATGTTTATGATTTGAGTATTCAGAAAATATTACTTTTCTCTGGATCTAACAATAATGTGAAAACCCAAAATGAATATAAAATGTTAGCTAATAATAGATTTCAAAGTATTCTACAAGTACGAAAAATATATGATATTGTTACTTTCATATATGTAAAACACTAATAATTTTTGTCAACATAAACATCATCTTTACACCTAAACTTGTATTAATTCAATTAAGATTTAATATAGTATCCTAAAGTCATCAAATATTCAAAAATAGGTTGTATTCTGACTTGAAATATACATAAAATTAACTATTTTCAGCTGAGCACAGTGGCTCATGCCTGTAATTCCAGCACTTTGGGAGGCTGAGGTAGGCAGATTGCTTGAGATCAGGAGTTTCAGACCAGCCTGGCCAACATGGTGAAACCCTGTCTCTATCAAAAATACAAGTTAGCCAGGCATGGTGGAACCTGCCTGTAATCCCAACTACTCTGAAGGCTGAGGCAGGAGAATCACTTGAACCCAGGAGGCAGAGGTTGCAGTGAGCCAAGATTGCACCACTGCACTCCAGCCTGGGTGACAGAGTGAGGCTCCATATCAAAATAATAATAATAATAATAATAGTAATAATAATAATAATTATTTTCTGTGAGTCCAAAGATAAAATAGCATTACAGAATACCTAATAATCCTGAGTTTGGTTTTCTTGGTTTTATTTTTTCATTTAGTTTTGTTCACTTTGACCAGTGGGCTGGTGGTTCTTAGGTGCACCAAGGTTTTCATTTTTCAGTTCAAGATTTGAAAACCTTAATGTGGTAATTTCTCTAATTTTTTTGACAGTTACGTCCCAGGTTGCAAGTTAAAATAAAATTCCCATTTTACTAAAGTCCTTGGTTTATTAATGATTTTATAATGACTTAATATATAATTTAATGAGTAATGAGGGGTACTACATTTCAGAAATAAACACTGAAGAACTTATTCATGGAACCAAACACCACCTGTTTCTCAAACACCTATTAAAATAAAAATACATATAAATAATTTTTAAAAATAAACACTAAAAATAAAGTGAAAATGAAAAAATATATATCCAGGTTAAAAAAAAAACTACTTCAGTTAAACAATAAATACTTTTTGGGGGGACTCAACTCTACTACAAAATTATTCGTTGTTTATTATAATCAATAATACAGGTAAAATAATAAGTTTTTAAAAATTTAAAAATTGTAAAAAATAAAACGATATTAACAAATATTGGTATACTGGTGAAGGCCGGGCTCAGTGGCTGCTTTCCAAAGTGGTTACACCAGTCGGGCATGGTGGCACACACCTGTAATCTCAGCACTTCCGGAAGCTGAAGCAGGCAGATCACTTGAGCTCAGGAGTTTGACACAAACCTGGGCTACATGACAACACCCCATTTCTACCAAAAACTGTAAAAATCAGCTGCTCATGATAGCATGCACCTGTAAGTCCCAGCTACTTAGGAGGCTGAGGTGAGAGGATCACTTGTGCCTGGAAGGTCACAGCTGCACTGGCCATGTTCATGTCACTGCACTCCAGCCTGCGCAACAGAGCAAGATTTTGTCTCAAAAAAAAAAAAAAAGTTGGTGACAATTGGAATACTTGGAACTCACATACATTACTGGTGGGAATATAAAATGGTGTAATCAATTTGGGTGTTTTCTTGGCATTTGATTTTTTTAAAAAATCAAGATATTGTTTCCCTATGTTGCCCAGGGTGGTCCTGAACTCCCGAGCTAAGAAAATCCTCCAAACTCAGCGTCTCAAATACCTGAGATTAAAGGTGTGAGCCACTGTGCCTGACCAGTGTAACCACTTTGAAAAACAACGTGGCAGTTTCTCAAAGACTAAATGTATAGTAATCACATAATGCAACAATTTCACTCCTGAGTGTAAATCCAAGAGAAATAAAAATATATGTTCACACTAAAACTTACGTACGAGTGTTCATAGCAGCCTGACTCATGATGGTGAATACGCAAAAACAACACAAATGTCCATCAACTAATGAATGGATAAACATAAAATATTACTCAGCTACAAAAGGAAAGAAATCCTGATACACACTATAACATGAAAGAAATTTGAAAACATTCTGCTAAGAGAAAAAAAAGCAAATTACAAAAGATCACACATTGTACAATTCTATTTCTATAAAAGGTCCAGATTAGGCAAAACTACAATGACAGAAAATAAATCACTGGTTGCCTATGAACATGGGGTACGTAGGAGGTAGCGGCTAAGAGGTGAGGGTTTCTCACTCATAAGTGGGTAACTCACAAGTGGGTAATCACTTCTAAGAAAGACTGTGGTGATGGATGCACAGCTCCTTGAATATTCTAAAAACCACTCAATTGTATACTTTCTTTTTTTCTTTAGTTATTTAAAGACGGTCTCCTTTTGTCACCCATGCTGTAGTGCAGTGGTGCCATCTGGTCTCACTGCAACCTATGGCTTCTGGGCTCAAGTGATCTTCCAGTCTCATGTCCCCAAGTAGTTGGGACTACAGGCATGAGCCACCACACCAAGCTAATTTTTGTATTTTTGCTAGAGATGCTGTTTTGCCATGTTGCCCAGGCTAGTCGCAAACTCCTGAACACAAGCGATCCACCTGCCTCAGCTGCCCAAAGTCTTAGCGTTATAGGAATTAGCCACTGCACCTGGCCTGAATTGTGTACTTTGATAAATGAATTGCATGATACGTTAATCATATTTCAATAACGTTATTATTTTAAAAATGGCTGGGCATGGTGTGGTGACTCACGCCTCTGATCTCAGCACACTGGGAGGCCAAGGTGGGTGGATTGCCTGATTTCAGGAGTTCGAGACCAGTCTGGCCAACATACTGAAACTCTGTCTCTACTAAAAATACAAGAATATTAGCTGAGAGTGGTGACATGGGCCTGTAATTCCAGCTAGTCGGGAGGCTGAGGCAGGGGAGTTGCTTGAACCAGGGAGGTGGAGGTTGCAGTCAGCTGAGATCACACCACTGCATTCCAGCCTGCATGACAGAGTGAGAGTCCGTCTCCAAAAGAAAGAAAGAAAAAGAAAATGGGCATTGAACACAGGTGGCTCCCACATACATATAATCCAAGCACTTTGGGAAGCTGAGGCAGAATGATCACTTGAGGCCAGGAGTCTGACAACATCCTGAGCAACACAGCAAGATCCCATCTGTACAATAAAAAATAAAGAAGTTAGCTGGGAATAGGGGCAAATGTATGTAGTCCCAGCTACTTGGGAGGCTGAGGTGGGAGGACTGTTTGAGTCCGGGGTTTCAGGCTGCAGTGAACCATGATCATGCCATTGCACTGCAGCCTGGGTGACAGAACAAAACCCTGTCTCTAGAAAGAAAAAAAAAAGAAATCCAAGTTTTTATCACCTTCTGAGAGTAATCAACATTCAGGAGGAACATAGAAGAACAAAAGACCACTGAATGGTTGAGGGTGGGTTGCTGGTTAGGTTCAGTGGCCAGCTGAGTAGTATCTGAAAAATTCTTTAGTAAAATTATGGCACTAGGGGTGAGTCATGCAGTCGAAGGATGAATACTAAATCCAGTACAAACACCCATGGTCTTTCTTTACATGAATTCCAGTGAAAAATTTCTAAGTGCCTAAAATAGCAAGTGGTCTGAAATGATGGCAGCAGTTTATTAAAGACTGAAAAAAGAGGCCAGGCACGGTGGCTCACACCTGTAATCCCAGCACTTTAGGAGTCCAAGGCCAGTGGATTACAAGGTCAGGAGTTCAAGACCAGCCTGTCCAACATGCTGAAACCCCGTATCTACAGAAAATACAAAGCTTAGCCGGGCATGGTGGCATGTGCCTGTAGTCCCAGCTACTTCAGAGGCTGAGGCAAAAGAAATGCTTGAACCCGGGAGGCAGAAGTTGCTGTGAATTGAGATTGTGCCACTGCACTCGAGCCTGGTGACAGAGGAAGATGCTGTCTCAAAAAAAAAAAAGAAAGAAATGGCATCTTCAAGAACCACAAGAGAGTTCCACGCTGAAGAAGCTCTGATTCTGCATTTGCTGAACTACTGATTTGAGTTAGCCAATATAACACTATCTTAGATAAAGTGTACAAACAACTCAATTTCATCTCCTCATTAATAACTGATTAGTCTAATATCAATTCTGATTTTTAAAAAGCTAATTAGAAAAAGAATTAATTATAGAATCAATAAGAGGTTTGAATAGTTACAAGCTATTCAAAGGAGAATTCAAAAAACCATTCAGGTATGAGGCCATAAAGTATGATGAAATAAATTTCATTAATATATTTTAAAATAAACTGATTAGACAGGCAACAACACCTGGGCACGGGTCTCCTCACCTCCAGCAACACAAACCCAATCGCGCAGCTATGGGGTTGCAAAGGCTGCATAGTGACAAACAGACTGCTCTGAGCTGAGATTTCTTTACTTGTATCTGTATTCTGAGACCGGGTCTCACTCTGTCACTCTGGCTGCAATGCAGGGGTGCACTCATAGCTAACTGCAGCCGTGACCTCCTGGGCTCCGGGGATCCTCCTGCCTCACCCTCACCATAGCTACGGCTACAGATGAACACCAAAACACCCAGCTAATTTTTTTTTTTTTTTTTTTTTTTGTAGAAAGAGGAGCCTTGCTATGTTGCCCAAGCTGGCCTCAAACTCCCGCCCTCAAGAGATCTACCCACCTCAACAACCTAAGTAACAGGTTCTACAGGAAAATACCACTATGCCGGGATAATTATATTTTATTAATTTTTATTTGCATAGACAGGAAGTCTTGCTGTGTTGCCCAGGGTGGTCTCAAACTCCTGGACTCAAACCATTCTCCCATCTCTGCCTCCCAAAGTGCTGAAGCTACGGGCATAAGCCACTACACCTGGCCCGACTTAAGATCTCTGTAATCTAGCATCCCATACTTCATATAATTGGGAAAAGCAGTAGTGGTTTTTTTTTAATTACTTAACATTTCAACAAGAATCAACCATCTCTCACCATTGCCAGGGCCCTGGTCAGAACCACTATCATCTCCCACCTGGAGGTTGCCACAGCATGGCCTCCCTGCTTCTACCCAAATCTTCCCACAATCTTTGTCAACTCAGCTGCCATGGGATGCTTTTAAATCAGTAGACAGTTCGTGTCAACTCTCTGCTCAGAACCCTTCCGCATCTCCCATCTCAGACAGAATAAAAACCAAAGCCCCAGCAATAGCCTCCCAGGGCTTACACAATCTGTACTGATCTGAGTCCAACAACTCCCTGGCCTCCTTCCCTACTTCTCTCCCTCTCTCTACTCCACAGACCTCTTTCCTGAGCTTCAGACACACCACGGAGTTCCCTCTTAGCATCTTTATTCTGTTGTTTCTGCCTAAAATGCTCTTCCCTCAGTACCTTGGCCAGCTCCTTCCCCTCCTTCAAGTCTTTGCTCAATTTTCACTTAGGAGGCCAACCCTGACCACTCTATTTAATATTGCTATCTGTCCCTATTCCTGCCATGCTCACTCATTTCTTTTTTCTTTTTTTTTCTAAGATATAATCTCGCTGTGTCACTCAGACTGGGGTGCCATGGCACGATCACAACGCACTGAGACCTGGAGCTCCTAGGTCAAGAAATTGTCCTGCCTCAGGGCCTCTAGTAGCTAAGACTACAAGTGCATGCCACCACACCCGCTAATTTTTTTTTTTTTTCCATGTAGACAGGGTATCATTTTGTTGCCCAGACTTATCGTGAACTCCTGGGCCAAAGCAACCATCCTGCCTCAGCCTCCTAAATAGCTGGAATTATAGGTGTGGGCCACCAATTCTGGCTTCATGTTCATTTCTTCTTGCCGCTGTTACAAACTACCCTACATTGAGTGGCTTAATACACCACAAATCTACTCACTAAGAGGTCTGGGGGCCAGAAGTCCAAAATAGGTCTATTAAGGCTAAAGTCAAGGTGCCAGCAGGACTGCATCCCTTCTGGAGGTTCTGGAGAGAATATGTTCCCTTGCCTTTCCCAGTTGCTAAAGCCACTCCTATTCTTTGGCTCATGGCCCCTAACTGCATCTTCAAAGCCTGAAGCAAAGCATATTCAAATCTCCCTCTGTGACCTGTGCTTCCATCATCAAATCTCCTTCAATTCGGACTCTCTTACCTCCCTCTTTCACTTATAAAGACCTCTTGTGATTGCTGGACACAGAGGCCGTGGCTCACAACCATAATCCCAACAGTTTAGGAGTTCAAAGCAGGAGAAACGCTTGAGGCCAAAACTTCAGGACCAGCCTGGGAAACACAGCGAGACCCCCTCAATTAAACAACAAAAAGAAATAAGAAAAAATTAGCTGGGCATGGTAGTATGCATCTGTAGTTTCAGCTACTTGAGAGGTTGTGGTGAAAGGATCGCTTTAGCCCCAGAGTTCAAGACCAGCCTCGGCAATATAACAAGATCCTATCTCTACAAAAAAATACAACAATTAGCTGGGCATAGATGGTGTGCACCTGTAGTCCCAGATGCTTGGAAGGCTGAGGTGGGAGAATTGCTTGAGCACAGGTGGTTGAGGCTGCAGTTAGCTACAACACCATCACTGCACTCCAGATTGGGTGAAACAGAGACTCTGTGTTCAAAAGAAAAAGAAAAGAAATACACATTTGGTTTCTGCCCCTCATCCTGGCAAAGAGCTTCTCAAGCTCTTATAAAGGCCTTGGTGATGAAAGTGATGGGGCATCTTCTGTTTCAATATTTGGTCTTAGTCCCAGGTTTCTAACACAAGAGCCTCTAAGACCTTTGGGATCACCATAGTAAGAATGCATTTGGTGATGTTACTGAGATGACTGGGTGACTGAAAGCTTGTAGACAGCTTCAGAAAAAGGGGTGGTTGTTGTCAGAAGAACAAACCATGTGATTAGAGGCTTGGAACTGTCAGTCTCACCCCCTGGGCTCCAGGAAGAAATAGTGGCCGAAGACTGACTTAATCACCAATGGTCAATGACTTCACCAATCATGCCTGCATAATGAAGCGTTCATAAGCGCCCTCAACAGCTGGAGTTGGAGAATGTCTGGGTTGCTGAACACAAGGGAGATACCAGGAATGTAATATGCACAATAGAGGACATGGAAGTTCTGTACCCCTCTCGACATACCTTGCCCTGTGTGTTTTTTATTTTTTTTTTGAGACAGAGTCTGGCTCTGTCTCCCAGCCTAGAGTGTCATGGCACAATCATGGCTCACTGCGAACTATGCCTCCCTATCTCAAGCCCCATCCTCTCATCCTCTCACCTCAGCCTCCTGAGTAGCTAGAATTATAGGCACTGAGTAGCTAGAACTATAGATAACTGTGCCTGGCTAATTTTTAGAAAAATCTTTTTGTAGAGATGCATTTTCACCTTGTTACCCAGGCTGGTCTTAATCTCCTGAGCACTTAAGTGATGCTCCCGCCTCAGTCTCCCAAAGTGCTGAAATTACAGGCATGAGCCACTGTGCCCAGCATGTACATCTCTTTCACTGGCTGTTTCTGAGATTTAGCCTTTAAAATGAACCAGTAAAAGAAAGTAAATTGGTGAGATGCAGTGGTTCATGCCCATAATCCCAGCATTTTGTGAAGTTAAGGTGGGAGGATCACGTGAGCCCAGAAATTTGAGACCAGCCTGGGCAACATAACAAGACCCCATCTCTACAAAAAGTAAAAGAACATAGCCAGATATGCTGGTACAGGCCTATAATCTCAGCTATTTGGGAGGCTGAGGTGGAAGGATCACTTGAGCCCAGGAGTCCCATGCTACAGTGAGCTTTGATCACACCACTGCATTCCAGCCTGGCAACAGACTGAGACCCTGTATCTCAGAAAAAAAAGAAAACAATCTGTTTTTCTGAGTTCTGCAAGCTGTCCGAGCAAATGATTCCACCCACCAATGGGGGTCATGAAACCCTGTTTTCTAACTGGTTGGTCAAAACTACATGTAACAACCCAAGACTTGCAATTGGTATGTGGAGTGAGGGTAGACTCCTGGGACTGAGCTCCCATCCTGCAGGGTCTGCACTAACTCCAGGGAGTGTCAGGATGGAATTGTGGGATACCCAGTTGGGATCCAGATTGTCTGAAAATCAGTGTAGAAACTCCACATGCACATTTGGTCAGAGGTGTTTGACCGTAACTACTATTCATGAAAAAGTTCTACTCATTAGAACTAAAAATCACAAAATTGTAAGTTCTACAAAAACAAATCAACCTTATCTACCGCCCAGTCCTACCGAACTACAGAATGTGAGAACAGAAGGTCTGACCATGGAGTCGAGAGCTGACAGGAATGTCACCACCATCCTGCTCTCCAAGGACTCCTCATCTTCAACAGACTCCTCATCTTCAATGGGCAGGATGGAAACTGCAACTTGTGCCATGATCCTTGCACAAGAAAAGTAGTAAGAAAATGAGTGGTAGAAATCCAGTGTCCTAAACTCACATCCAGAGCTGTGAGAGTTTTTTACTGGCTGGATAATTCACAGTTATCTTGAATCAGGGGAAAAATAAGACTCAGAAACTAGGAATTCATTTTGCCCAAAACTCTCATCAGATACAGAATCCATCCGCTAACTATCTAGTATTATTTCCATAAGTTAGATCAATTATCACTCCCAAAACAAATGCACATGGCACCCAGAATCTGTGCATTTCTCCCAGGTAAAAGAGGAGGTGGATGGGCGCAGTGTCTCATGCCTTTAACCCCAACACTTTGGGAGGCCAAGGTGGGTGGATCACCTGAAGTCAAGAGTTCAAGACCAGCCTGGCCAACATGGTGATACCCTGTCTCTACTAAAAATAAAAAAAGTTAGCCAGGTGTGGTGGCATGTGCCTGTAGTCCCAGCTTCTTGGGAGGCTGAGGCAGGAGAATCACTTGAACCCAGGAGGCTAAGGTTGCAGTGAGCAGAGATCGCACCACTGCACCTCAGCCTGGACGACAGAGTGAGACTCTGTCTCAAAAAAAAGGAGGGGAGGAAAGGAGGCAAGGCACTTTACAACCCAGTGATGGGCTACCACAACTCAACACAGCAAAGAGTTGCCAAGCTCCCTTTCTCCCCTGCACAACCAGACACAGAAGAGTTGGTGTAGTGGAATGAGGCTGGATGGAGAGAAGTTCTTCTTCTTTCTTTCCTTTTTTTTTTGAGATGGACTCTCACTCTGTCACACAGGCTGGGGTGCAGTGGTGCAATCTCGGTCACTGTAACCTCTGCCTTATGGGTTTAATCAATTCTCTGCCTCAGCCTTCCGAATACCTGGGATTAGAGGCACCCCCCACCACACCCAGCTAATTTTTTTTTTTTTAGTGGAGACTGGGTTTCACTATGTTGGCCAGGCTGGTCTTGAACTCCTGACATTAGGTGATCTACTCACCTCGGTCTCCAAAAGTGCTAGGATTACAGGCATGAGCCGCTGTGCCCAGCCAAGAAGTTCCTCTTCTTACTTAGAAAACAGATCACAGGGCATCAAGTAACACGTAAAATCCTCTATAATAAGCAGTATTATTTTTGGAAAACATTTCCTAATATTTTGGTATCAGTGAAAAGCCTCAGATTAATTTCAAACACTATAAAAATACAATACATAAACAGAAAATATTAACTGTCAGCAATGCTATAGAGAAATTGGAAGCTGTATGCATTGCTTTTTGGAATGTAAAATGGTACAGCCCACTGTGGAAAATGGTTTAGCAGCTCCTTAAAAATATGAAGCATAGAATTATATGATCCATCAACACCCTTTAAGCGTATATACCCAAAAGAACTGAGAGCAGGGACTCAAACAGGTATTTGTACACCCGATTAACAGCAGCATTATTCACAGTGGCCAGAAGGTAGCCCAAACCTAATGCCCATCAGTAGGTGAATAGATAAAGAAAATGTAATATATACATACACAGAGTATTATTCAGCCATAAAAAGAAAAATATCTGGCCAGATTCAGGGGCTTACACCTGTAATCCCAGTATTTTGGGAGGCCAAGGTGGGCAGGTCTCTTGAGCCCCATATTTTGAGACCAGACTGGACAACATGGCACATTTGGTTAGAAGTGTTTGAACATAACTACTATTCCAGAAAAAGATCTACTCATTAGAACTACAAATCATAAAATTATAAGTTCTACAAAAAAAAAATCAACCTTATCTACCACCCAGTTCTACCAAATTATATCATGTTAGAACAGAAGGTCTCACCGTGGACTCGAGAGCTGATATGAGAAATGTCACCACCATCCTGCTCTCCACGGAATCATCTTCAACAGACTCCTCATCTTCCATGGACTCCTCATCTTCCATGGGCAGGGTGGAAACTGCAAATTGTGCCATGATCCCTGTGCAAAAAAGTATTAAGAAATTGAATGCTAGAAATGCAGTGTCCTAAACTCACATCCAGAGCTGTGAGAGTTTCTCACCGGCTGCCAAATTGTTTTTTGGGTCAGAGAAAAAAATAAAACTTGGTAACCTGGTACTCGACTTGCACCAAACTCTCATCAGATAGAGAATCTATCTGCTAACTTTCTATCTAGTATTATTTCCATGAAGTTACATCAATATCACTCTCAAAATAAATCCAGGTGGAAGACTAAATCCAAAGCTAGCAGAAGGAAAGAAATAATAAAGAGCATAATTAGAGCATAAATCAATAAAACAGAAGGTTGGAGAGCAGTAGAATGAAAAAATGTAGATTCTTTGAAAGATCAAGCCTTTCACTATATTGACTGAGCAAAAGATGGAAGACTAATTATTAAAATGATAAATGAAAGCAGAGCCATTACTACCAACTTTACAGAAATACAAAAGGATTACAGGAGTATACTGTGAACAACTGTCTAGCAACAAATTAGGTGCCCTGGATGAAATGGATGAATCGCTAGAAAGACACAAACTACCAAAGTGGCTCAAGAAGAAAGAGAAAATCTGAATAGACCTATAACCTAGGAGATTGAATTAGTAATCGAAAGCGATTAACAAAGAAACATTTATGACCAAATAGCTGCATTAACTGGTGAGTCAACCTAACATTTAAAGAAGAATTAATACCATTTCTTCTCAAACTCTTCTGACAAAATATATGAAGAAGGAATACTTGCTAATTCATTTTTTGATAACAGCATTATCCTTATACCAAAGACAAAGAGAGCACAAAAGAGAGAAATACAGCACTATATCCCTTATGAATATATAAGCAAAAATCTCAGCAAAATACTAGCAATACTAGCAAAATACTAGCAGCAGCAATACTGTATAATCAAAGGATTGTAAACTATCACCCTTTGAGATTTATCCCCAAAATGCAAGGGTGGTTCAACATATAAAAAATCAATCAGTGTAATATGCTGTAACAGTAAAATGAATAAGCACGTGATTATTTCAATTGCTGCAGAGAAAACATTGATGAAATACAACACCCTTCTATAATAAAAATACTCAATAAACTAGGCATAGAAGGGATCTTCTGCAACATGACAATGGGATGTACAAAAACCCAACAGTTAATATCATGATCAATGATGAAACACTGAAAGCTGTTTTCCTAACATCTAGAAGAAAAGGATGGTGCATTTGCCACTTGTATTCAACGTAGCACTGGCAGTTCTAGCCAGAGCAATTAGGCAAGACAAAGAAATAAAAGGCATCTAAATTAGAAATAAAAAATAGGTGTAAAATTATATCTACACATGATCTTATGGGTATAAAGCTCCAAACAAAACACAAAACCGATTATAACTAATAAAAGAGGCAGGATGCAAACAAACATAGGCAAATGAGCTATATTTCTATATAGTTGTAAAGAACTATGAAAACATTTTAAAAATTCCATTTATAATGACATCAAATAATACGTTATTCAGGCATAAATCTAACCATGGTGGTATACATAAAACATTGCTGCAAAAAACTAAAGAGAGTGGAAATAAGTGGAAAGACATTCTGTGTTCACGGGTTGTAAGACAATATTGTTAAGATGACAATACCATCTAAAGTAATCTACAGATTCAATGCAATACCATCAAAATCCCAAAGGCATTTTTGCAGAAACAAAGAAACTCATTCTAAAATCATACAAAAATTCAAAGGATCTGACAGACAAAACAGTCTTGAAAAAGAACATTGGAAAACTCACATTTTTCAGTTTCACAGCCTACTACAAATCTACAGTAATCAAGAGAGTGTGGTACTGGAATAAGACCAATAGACTTTCAGACCAATACAATAGAACAGATTTGAGATCCTACAAGTTAGTCCTCACATATATGGTCAATGACTGTTCAACAAGGTGGCCAAGTCTAGTCAAGGGAGGAAAGAACAGTCTCTTCAACAACTGGATGTCAGTGCACAAGAGAGAAGTTAGACCCCTACTTTGCAGTATATACAAAAATTAATTCTAAATTAATAAAATACTTAAATGTAAGGACTAAAAATATGTAACTCTTAGAAGAAAACACACGGTAAACCTTTATGACCTTTGAGTTTTAAGTGTATTTTGAAATATGACAGAAAAGCACAGATAACAAAAGAAAATACACGAAAATTAGATTTAATCAAAATAAAAAACCCTTTATGTATCAAAGGATACTATCAAGGAAGTGAAAAGACAACCCATAATATGTGAGAAAATATGTATCTGATAAAATCAAAATGTGTATCTGATAAAAGCTTAATATTCCACAACTCAACAACAGAATTTCTAAGATCCCAATTAAAAAATAGGCAAAGGACTTGAACAGACATTTCTCCAAAGAAGATACACAAATGTCTAAGAAGGAAAAGAAAAGATGCTAAACACCATTATTCATTAATAAAATGCAAGGCAAAACCCAAATGAGATGCCACTTTGCATCCACTAGTAAGGCTTTCATAACAACGACACAGAAAATCAATGTTGCTAAGGAGGTGGAGAAACTGGAGCCCTCATGAACTGGCTGCTAGGAATAGAAAATGATGCACTTGCTGTGGAAAACAGTTTGGTGGTTCCTCAAAGAATCACACAGAGAAACAGGCGCCGCTGGCTTGCGGGTTCTCCTGGGCTGGCGCGGGACGTCCCGGAATCACAGGCGCGCACTCCTTCCCGCCTGAGGGTCCGCCTGGCCGTGACTCCCGCCCCTCTCCTCCTCCGAAGAGAGATCGGGGCCGCCCCAGGGGCCGTCTGCAGCCACCGGGGATGGGGCTGAGGGTCGGTTCCTGCCCCGGTGCAGCCGCCCCTGGGCAGACCGCCTGGCTTGGTCGCAGCCATGGCGACATCTAGCTCCGGTTCTGCGAGGCTGGGCGCGCCAGCCAGCTTGGGAGTCGCCCGGCGCCTGTAGCTGGGCTCCCAGGTGGTGAAGCATGCCCTGGGCGGCCTCTGGATCGCGGGTGCCCCTGGCCTGAGAGCCTGCCAGACCCTGCCCTGGCCCGGCTCCTCCTCTGTCAGAGCTCCAGATCTCTATCCAGGGGCCCTCTGCAGCCACCGGGGATGGGGCTGAGGGTCGGTTCCCGCCCCTGTGCAGCTGCTGCAGTACAGACCGCCTGGCTTGGCCACAGCCACAGGGACATTTGGCCCTGCTTCCAAGATGTGGGGAGTGTGGGCGGGCTCGGGAGTTGCCTGGAGGCTGCTGCCTGCACGCAGAAGGCGGCTGCAGCTCGGGTGCCCAGGCAGGCTGGAGGTGCATGGCCTGGTCGGCCTTGGGATCGCCAGCGCGCCAAGCCTGAGGGCCCCCAGGCCATGCCTCCCGACCACTCCTCCACCTGAGGGAGATCGGAGCCGTTTATATGGGCACTCGGCAGTCACCTCGTGTGGGGTTGAGCGGTGGGTTCTCAGTTCTCGCTCTTGTGCAGCTGCTGCCGCAGGGCAGAATGCCTGGCTTGGCTGCAGCCACTGGGACACGTGGCCCTGCTTCTGTGATGCTAGGAGCGCGAGCGGGCTCGGGGGTTGCCAGGCAGATGCTGCCTGCACACAGGGGGCGACGGCAGCTTGGGCGCCCAGATGGCAGAGCATGGTTTGGGTGGCCTCTGGAATGCGTGCGCGCCAGGCCTGAGGGTCACCCTGGTGGGGCCACATACCCCGGTCTTCCTCTGCTGGAGCCTGGAGCAGCTGGAATGGCCACTATTCCGTCACAGGGGATGGAGTTAAGTTTTCTTATCCCACCCATGCACCCAAAAGGTGACTATTCTGTGAGGTAATAAACGTGTTAATTGACTTCATTCATGCCACTCTGCATCCACAAGTAAGGCTTTCATAACAATGACAGAGAAAATAAATGTTGCTAAGGAGGTGGAGAAGTTGGAGCCCTCATGATCTGGCTGCTAGGAATAGAAAATGATGCCCTTGCTGCGGAAAACAATTTGGTTGTTCCTCACAGAATGAGCATTGGGTGAAAAATGAAATCAAGATGGAAATGTAAAAAATGTCTTCGAACTGGATGACACAACCTATCAAGACCTCTGGGGTACAGCAAAGGCACTGCTAAGAGCAAAGTTTGTAGTCCTAAAAACCTACATCAAAAAGTCTGAAAGAGCACAAACAGACAATCTAAGTTCACATCTCAGGGAACTAGAGAAGCAGGAACAAGCCAAACCCAATCCCAGCAAACACAGGAAATAACAAAAATCAGAGCAGAACTAAATGAAATTGACACAACAACAACAACAACAACAAATACAAAACATAAATAAAACAAAAAGTTGGTTATTTGAAAAGATAAATAAAATTGGTAGACCATTAGCAAGATTAACCAAGAAAAGAAGAGAGAAAATCCAAATAACCTCACTAAGAAATGAAACAGGGGATATTACAACTGACACCACTGAAATATTAAAGATTATTCAAGGGTACTATGAACACCTTTTGGCACATAAACTACAAAACCTAGAAGAGTTGGATAAATTCCTGGAAAAATACAACTCCCCTAGCTTAAATCAGGAAGAATTAGATACCCCAAGCAGACCAATAAAGCAAGCAGCAAGATTGAAATGGTAATTTTAAAATTACCAGCAAAAAAAGCTGAGGGCCAGACAGATTCACAGCAGAATTCTACCAGACATTCAAAGAATGTCTTCTTTCATTCAAGGAAGAAATGATACCCATCTTTTCATACTATTCCACAAGACAGAGAAAGAAGAAACCCTCCTTATTCATTCTATGAAGCCAGCATCACCCTAATACCAAAACCATGGAAGGACATAACCAAAAAAGAAAACTACAGACCAATATCCTTGATGAACTCAGATGCCAAAATCCTTAACAAAATACTATCTAACTGAATCCGACAACATATCAAAAAATAATCCACCATGATCAAGTGGGTTTTATACCAATGATATAGGAGTAGTTTCACATATGCAAGTCAATAAGTGTGATACACTAAATAAACAGAGTTAAAAAAATCTAATATGATTATATCAACAGGTACAGAAAAAACATTTGACAAAATCTAGCATTGCTTTATGATTAAAGCTCTCAGCAAAATAGGCATACAAGGGACATACCTTAATGTAATAAAAGCCATCTATGACAAACCCACAACCAACATAATACTGAATGGGGAAACGGTGAAAGCATTCACTTTGAGAACTGGAACAAGACAAGGAGACTACTCTCACCGCTCCTCTTCAACATAGTACTGGAAGTCCTAGCCAGAGCAATCAGACAAAAGAAGGAAATAGAGGAAATCCAAATCGGTAAAGAGGATGTCAAACTGTCACTTGTTGCTGATGATATAATCTTTTGCCTAGAAAACCCTACGGACTCCTCTAGAAACTTCCTAGAACTGATAAAAGAATTCAGCAAAGTTTCCAGATACAAGATTAAGGGACACAAATCCGTAGCTCTTCCATACATCAACAGCTACCAAGCAGAGAATCACATCAAGAACTCAACCCCTTTTACAATAGCTGCGACAAACAACAACAACAAAAAAACAAAACTTAGGAATATACCTAGCAAAGGAATCAAAGGACAGCTACAATGAAAATTACAAAACACTACTGAAAGAAATCATAGATGGAGCCAAGCACGGTGGCACACGCCTATAATCCGAGCTACTCGGGAAGCTGAGGCAGGAGAATCGCTTGAACCCGGGAGGCAGAAGTTGTAGTGAGCCGAGATCACACCATTGCACTCCCACCTCAGCGACAAGAGCGAAACTCCCTCTGAAAAAAAAAAAAAAACAAGAAAGAAAAGAAGTCATAGATGACACAAACAAATGGAAACGCATCCCCATGCTCATGGATGGGTAGAACCAATATTGTGAAAATTACCATTCTGTTAAAGGCAATCTACAAATTCAATGCAATCCCCATCTGAATGCCACCATCATTCTTCACAGAATTACAAAAACAATTCTAAAATTAATATGGAACCAAAAAAGAGCCATGTAACCAAACCAAGCCTAAGCAAAAAGAACCTGGAGGTATCACACTACTTGATTTCAAACTGTACAATAAGGCTTACCTTATTGTTACCAAAACACCAACGTACTGGTTTAAAAATAGGAACATAGACCAATGGAACAGAAGAGAGAACCCAGAAATTAACCCAAATACTTACAGCCAACTGATCTTCGACAAAGTAAACAAAAACATAAAGTGGGGAAAGGACCCCCTTTTCAACACATGATGTTGGGATAATTGGCGAGCCACATGTAGGGGAATAAAACTGGATTCTCATCTCTCATCTTATACAAAAATCTACTCAAGATGGATTAAGAACTTAAATCTAATTCCTGAGCTATAAAAATTCTAGAAGATAACACTGGATAAACCCTTCTAGACATTGACATACGCAAGGATTTCAAGACCAAGAACCCAAATGCAAATGCAATAAAAACAAAGATAAATAGCTGGGACTTAATTAAACTAAACAGCTTTTGCATGGCAAAGGGAACAGTCAGCAGAGTAAATGGACAACTCAAAGAGTGGGACCCCTGAACCTGACCCTGATCCCTAACCCCTGACCCTGATCCCTAACCCCTGAACCTGACCACTAACCCCTGACCCTAACCCTAACCCCTAACCCTAACCCTTAACCGTAACCCCTAAGCCTAACCCCTAACCACAACCCTCACCCTCACACTAATCCAACCCTAACCCCTTATCCCTAACCCCTAACCTCTCTTAACCTCTAACTCTAAACGTTGTCTCTTAACTCCTAACTCTGACCCCAACCCCTATCTCCAACCCCTAACCCTAAACTTAACCCCTAACCCCTAACCCTAACACCAACCTTAACCCTAGGTTCTTTACTACGTTTGTACTATGTCAATGTTGATTATTATGATCTCTGTCTTAGGACTGCATAGCAGCAAGGGGATTGCGGATCTTATATTAATATTTTTGTATTGAGGCAGTGCATTAGCATTACAGGTGCTTGTTACATGAGCAATGGGGGTGTCATATTTTGGGTGTCATGTCTGCATTAGGAATGCTGCATTTGTCTTCCGAGGCTGCGGTGTGGATCTCGCACTGCGGCTGCCTTGGCTTGGCTGGGGAGAACCTCGGTTGGCAGGATTCAGAGGGGCTTTTGGTTTCCCTTTTCCACACTGAGCCCTTCTAACTGGTCTCTGACCCTGATTATTCAGGGCTGCAAAAGGGAAGGATTTTATTCACCGTCTATGCGGTCCCGAGTTGTCCCAAAGCGAGGCAGTGCCCCAAAGGTCTGTGCTGAGGAGAACGCTGCTCTGCCTTAGCGGTGTCCCCCGGGTCTGTGCTGAGCAGAACGCAGCTCCGCCCTCGCGGTGCCCCCGGCCCGCCTGGGTCTGTGCTGAGGAGAACACTGCTCCGCCTTCGCTGTATCTCTGAAGTCTGTGCAGAGGAGAACTCAGCTCCGCCCTGGCGATGCTCTCCTTGTCTGTGCTGGGAAGAACGCAGCTCCGCCCTCGCAAAGGCGCACAGCGCCGGCGCAGGAGCAGAGAGGCCCACAGCGCTGGCGAAAGGCGCAGAGAGGCCCACAGCGCCGGGGCAGGCGCAGAGAGGCCCACAGCGCCGGCGCAGGCGCAGAGAGGCCCACAGCGCCGGCGCAGACGCAGAGAGGCAGAAGGCCCATGAGGGGAAGGTGAGACACCTGGGGCAAAGAAGAAAAAAAAATGCGCCGCGAAGCGGTGTCTGGGTCATCCGGGGACGAAAGTTTTTTCCCATCAGCCCTTGCGCTGGGCCCCAGGGACCCGGGCATCCCTGGTTCACGCCCAGGGTGTGCCTCAGGCGACTAGGGGTACCCCAACTTGGACAGAAGGCCCATGAGTGGAAGTTGAAGTTTGTGGGAGGAGAGGTGAGGCACCAGGGGCAGAGAAAAAAAAAAAAAAAAGAGGACCGCGTCTCAGAGAAGCGGGGCCTGGGTCCCCCACGGATGAAAGTGCCTTCCCATCAGGCCCTATGCTGGGCCTGGTGGACCCTGGCGACCCTGGTTCGAGCCCAGGGTGCGCCTCGGGACAGCTTGGGGTACCACAAAGCGAACAAAAGGTCCATGAGGGGAAGGTGAGGCACCTGAGGCAGAGAAAAAAAACGCTCAGCCGAGAAGCAGTGCCTGCGTCCCCCACGGATGAAAGTGCCATCCCATCAGCCCCTTCGCTGGGCCCTGGGGACCCTGGCGTCCCTGGTTTGACCCTGGGGTACGCCTTGGGACAGTAGGGGTACCCCAAGGTGGGCAGAAAGCCCCTAAGGGGAAGGTGAGGCACCTGGGGCAGAGAAAAAAAGAAAAACTTCGCCGCGGAGAAGCACGGCCTGGGTGCCCCACAGACGAAAGTGTCTTCCCATCAGTCCCTGCACTGGGACCCAGGGACCCTAGTGTCCCTCGTTCGAGCTCAGGGTGTGCCTCGGCCGCTAAGTGCACCCCAAGGGGGGCTTTGGGGACACAAAGCCCGTGAGGGGAAGGTGAGTTTTGAGGGAGGAGAGGTGAGGCACCTGTCACAGAAAAAGAAAAAAAAGAAACCCGCGCCGCGGAGAGGTGGGGCTTGGGTACCCCACGGATGAAAGTGCCTTCCCATCAGCCCCTGCACTGGGCCCCGGGGAACCTAGAGTCCCTGGTTCGAGCTCAGGGAGAGCCTCGGGCCACTAGGGGTACCCCAACGCGGTGGAAAGCCCATGAGAGGAAGGTGAGCTGTGAGGGAGGAGAGGTGAGACACTTGTGGCAGAAAAGAAAAAGAAACCGCGCCACGGAGAAGTGGGGCCTGGGTCTCCCATGGGAAAAAAGTGCCTTCCCATCAGTCCCTGAGCTGGGCCCCGTGGACCCAGGCGACCCTGGTTCTAGGCCTGGGTGCACCTCGGGCCCGCTAGGTGTACCCCAAAGCGGGCAGAAGGCCCATGAGGTAAAGGTGAGGTTTGAGGGAAGAGAGGTGAGGCACCTGCGGCAGAAAAAAAAAAAAACGTGCGGAAGAGAAGCGGGGCCTGGTTCTCCCACGGACGAAAGTGCCTTCTCATCAGCCCCTGCGCTGGCCCCCTGGACTCTGGCGACCCTAGTTCAAGGACCAGAAGAGACTCTGGCATGCTAGGGTACCCTAAGGAAGCCAGAAAGCCCACGAGGGGAAGGCGAGATTTAAGGGAGGAGAGGTGAGTCACTTGTGGTAGAAAAAAAAAAAAAAAATATATATATATATATATATATATATATATATACATATATATATATGTATATATATATATATACATATATATATATATATGTATATATCAGCACCTCGGAGAAGCCGGGCCTGGGTCCCCACTGATGAAAGTGCCTTCCCATCAGCCCCTGCGCTAGCCCCGAGAACCTGGCGACCCTGATTGGAGATCCGGCAGCGCCTCGGGCCTGCTCGTGGTACCCCAAAGCAGGCAGAAGGCCAATGAGGGGAAGGTGAGGCACCTGGGGCGGAGAAAAAAAACCGCAGCTTTGAGAAGTGGGGCCTGGGTACCCACGGATGAAGGTACCTTCCCATCAGCGCCTGCGCTAGGCCCCGGTGACCCTGGCATCCATGGTTCGAGTCCAGGGAGCGCCTTGGGCCGCTAGGGGTACCCCAAGTCGAACAGAAAGCCCATGATGGGAAGTTGACGTTTGAGGGAGGAGAGGTGAGGAACCTGTGGCAGAAAAAAAAAAGAAAACAAGCCGCGCCTAGGAGAAGCTGGGCCTGGGTCCCCCAAGAGTGAAAATGCCTTCCCATCAGTCCCTGCGCTGGGCCCTGTGGACGCTGGAGACCCCGGTTCGAGCCCCGGGTGCGCCTCGGGCCTGCTAGGGGTAACACAAGGCGGGCAGAAATCCCAGGAGGGGCAGTTGAGGTTTGAGGAAGGAGAGGTGAGGCACCTGTGGCAGAAAAAAAAAACTGCACCACGAAGAAGCGGAGCCTGGGTCCCCAACGGACGAAAGTGTCTTCCCATCAGCACTTGCGCTGGGCCCAGGGGACCCTGGCATTCCTGGTTCGAGACCAGGGTGTGCTTCAGGCCGCTAGGGGTACCCAAAAGCAAGCAGAAGGCCCATGAGGGGAAGGTGACGCACGTGGGGCAGAGAAAAAAACAACAACAACTGTGCCTCGGATAAGCGGGGCCTGGGTCCCCCACAGAAGAAACTGTCTTCCCATCAGCGCTTGCACTGTGCCCCGGGGACCCTGGTATCCCTGGCTCGAGCCCAGCGTGCGCCTCGGCCTGCTAGGGGTACCCCAAGACAGACAGAAGGCCCATGAGAGAAAGGTGAGACACCTGGGGCAGAGAATAAAATAAAAAACTGTGCCGCCCAGAAGTGGGGACTGGGTCCCACATGGACGAACGTCCCTACCCATAAGCCCTGCACTGGGCCCCGGAGACCCTAGCATCCCTGCCTCAAAACAACGGTGTGCCTCGGGTCGGCTAGGGGTACCTCAAGGCGGGCAGAAAGCCCATGACGGGAAAGTGAGGCAACTGGGGAAAAAAAAAAAAAAAACGCCACAGAGAAGCAGAGCCTGGGTCCCCGAGGAAGAACGTGTCTTCCCATCAGCCACTGAGCTTGGCCCAGTGGAATCTGGCTTCCATGGTTCGAGACCAGGGTGTGCCCCGGGTCGCTAGGTGTACCCCAAAGCGTGCAGAAGGCACAAGAGGGGAAGGTGAGGCACATGGGGCAGAGAAAAAAAAAACCTGCCACGGAGAAGCGGGGACTGGGTCTTCCACACGGACGAAAGTGTCTTTCCATCAGGCCTTGCGCTGGGCCTCAGGGACACTGGAGTCCCTGGTTCGAGCCCACAGTGCACCTCGGGCCGCTAGGTGTACCCCAAGGCAGACAGAAGACCCAAGAGGGGAAGGTGAGATTTGAGGAAGGAGAGGTGAGGGATCTATGGCAGGAAAAAAAAAAAACCGCGCCACGGAGAAGCAGGGCATGGGTCCCCCACAGACGAAAGTGCCTTCCCATCAGGCCCTGATGGTTTGAGACAGAATGAGGAGTGACTAATGTCTACAGGGTTTTTCTCTGGTCGGGGGTGATAAGACGTTCTACAATGGATTGCGAATTAAAATTGAATGTGCACAACCACAGGTATACTAAAAGCCACTCAATTCATGACTTTTAATGGGGGAATCTTATGTGGCGCACTCTAATGGAGACCACGGCAGACATAGTGAGAGAGAAAAAGGTGAGTAAATATCTGAAACGGAGGCAGAAACAGAGAGAATGAAAAGCCCTGTGAATGGAAGGGAGAGCGAAAAGGGAAAATGGTCCTATTTACAAATGACAGATGTGAAACCGGGGTTCACATCAACAGTGTCACTGCCAGGAAGGAGGGTCATGCTAGCCATGTCACCGGTAGTGTGTCCCGCAGGGACGCCGACCTGCTGGAGCGTCGTGCCAGCATGGGCTCTGGCAGCCACGTGGGCCAGCAGGAGGGTCCTGCTGCACAGCTGTGGGGTGAGGATAGACTGGGTGGTGATATCGGCCATTACAGGGGCCTCTTCTGCTGGCAAAAGTGTGACAGTAGCAAGTAGATGGACAGGCCTGCGTGTGAGGACGGAATGCAGGAGGGGCTCTTGTGCGGCTGGTTGTGGGGCCCTCACCGGAAATGTGGAGAAATGGCCATGTAACTGCGTCATGTGGGCTAGTAGATTGGCCAGGGCTTCGAACTGAAGGACAATAACGGGGAGTAGCTGTCAGGCCCTGGGAGTGTCTGAGTGTAAGTGGAGATGGGTTTGGGGTCACTGAGGGATGCGTGGGAGCCATCCCTGTATAGGTACAGGTCATAGGGAGATAGTCTCGTGAGGCCTGTGAGTGTCTAGGGTTGTCCTGGGTGCCTGGGGCTGACTGTGGCAGAAATCCGGGGAAGGCTGGAGAGAAGCTGGGAGACCCAGGAGAGTCCCTGAAGGCAGGGGGTGAAGAGGTGAAAGAAATGGGGGAGGGTTGCAGTAAGGTCCGTGAGTTTGTAGGTGATTCCTGGGTGCGGGAAGCTGACTCCAGGTGAAATCTGGAGATGGTTGGAGAGTAGCTGAGAGAGACAGAAGAGTCCCTGAGGGCTGGGGGTGAGAACATGAGGGAGACTGGGGAGTAAGTCAGTGAAATTCGTGAGTTCGGTGGTGTATCGTGGGTGCCTGGAACTGACTCCAGCTGGAATCTAGAGAAGTTTTGACAGTAGCTGAAAGAGACACAAGAGTCCCTGTGGGCTGAGGGCAAAGACCTGAGAGAGACCAGGGAGGACCTCAGTGAAGTCTGTGAGTCTGTAGGTGATTCCGGAGTGTGGGAGGCTGACTCCCGCTGAAATCTGGGCGTGGTGGGAGAGGAGCTGGGACAGACAGGAGAGTCCCAGGGGGCTGGGGGTGAAGACATGAGAGAGACTGGGGAGTAACTCAGTGAAACTGCTGAGTTTGTAGGTGATACCTGGGTGCCTGGAACTGACTCCCGCTGAAATCTGGGCATGGTAGGAGAGTAGCTGGGACACACAGGAGAGTCCCTGAGGGCTGGGGGTGAAGACATGAGAGAGACCGCGGAGTAACTCAGTGAAACTGGTGAGTTTGGTGGTGACTCCGGGGTGCCTGGAACTGACTGCAGCTGAAATGTGGGCGTGGTTGGAGAGTAGCTGGGACCCCCAGGAGAGTCCCTGAGGGCTGGTGAAGACATGAGAGAGACTGGAGAGTAATTGAGTGAAATTGGTGAGTTTGGTGGTGATTCCTGGGTGCCTGGAACGGACTCCCGCTGAAGTGTGGGCGTGGTTGGAGAGTAGCTGGGACACACAGGAGAGTCCCTGAGGGTTGGAGATAAAGACGTGCTAGAGACTGAGGAGTAACTGAGTGAAATTGGTGAGTTTGGTGGTGATTCCGGGGTGCCTGGAACTGACTCCAGCTGAAATGTGGGCGTGGTTGGAGAGTAGCTGGGACAGACGGGAGGGTCCCTGAGGGATGGTGAAGACATGAGAGAGACTGGGGAGTAACGCAGTGAAATTGGTGAGTTTGGTGGTGATTTCTGGGTGCCTGCAACGGACTCCCGCTGAAGTGTGGGCGTGTTTGGAGAGTAGCTGGGACAGACAGGCGACTCCCTGAGGGTTGGAGATAAAGACGTACTAGAGACTGGGGAGTAATTCAGTGAAAGTGGTGGGCTTGGTGGTGATCCCTGGGTTCCTGGAACTGACCCGCGCTGAAATGTGGGCGTGGTTGGAGAGTAGCTGGGACAGACTGGAGGGTCCGTAAGGGCTGGGGGTGAAGACGTGAGAGAGACTGGCGAGGATCTCACTGAGGTCTGTGAGTTTGTAGGTGTTTCTGGGGTGTGGGGTAGAGACTCCTGCTGAAATCTGGGCGTAGTTGGAGAATAGCTGGGACAGACAGGAGACTCATGGGTGGCTGGGGGTGAGCTGCTGGATGATGGCAGTAAGAACATATGGTATATTATTGATGAATGAGGTGACTGTGAAGAATCTCCAGAGGAGGACACGGGAGAACACAATGACATGAGTGACTGTCCTGCTTGGTTAGGAAAGGGAAACGTAAAGCTGTGGAATTCTGTTGATGATGGATGTGAGAGTGGTGAAGCCCTGCGGGGTGATGTAGAGTACTTCCACATCTCTGGTGAGGAGCTGCCCCTTGGGTCTGAGTTTCTGGGAGGGGAGAGGGAGAAGCTGGGTGAGGCAGGCATGAATCTTGAGGAGTCAGGGCTGGGGGACCGCTCATATTCTCCCGAGACCTGTGAGTCTCTGGGGGACTCCTGGGTGCATGGGACTGACTCCCGCAGGAACCTGGGGATGGCTGGAGAGTAACTGGGAGCCACAAGAGAGTCCCTGAGGCCTGGGGGTGAAGAGATGAAAGACACAGGGGTGGAGCACCGTGAGGCTCGTGAGTTTGTAAGTGATTCCTGGGTGTGGGGGACTGACTCCAGCTGAAATCTGGGGTTGTTTGGAGAGTAGCTGGGAGACACAGGAGACCCCCCGAGAGCTGGGGGTGAGCTGCTGGGTGATGGCAGTAAGAGCATGTGGTATATTATTGATGAACGTGGGGGATCTGAGGAATCCTCAGAGGAGGACACGGGAGAGCCCAATATCTTCATTGATTGCCCATCAATCAATACTTCTTTAACCTGACGGAAGAACTGATCTAAAGGCTTTAGTACAGTGCATGATTATGTGAGATGTTTTGAGACAGAGTAGTACATTTGTGAATGAAATTTTATGGCTTATTTTCGCTTAGTAGGAACCATTGTGTGTGGAAAAGTGAGGAAATTGCTTTCTGCTGTAGAGTCTGGCATTCATTGTAGATTTAAGCTTATTTTCCTGTGAGCAAATCTTATTCAATAAAATACTACTCTTTATACTGAAAAACAAAAACACTGGTGATGTGAGGTCATTATCCTCAGCAAACTAATCCAGGGAAAGAAAACCAAACACCACATTCTCACTTATAATGGGAGCTGAAAAATGAGATCACATGGACACAGGAAGGGGAACAACACACACTGGGGCCTTTCGGGAGGCAGAGCGTTAAGAAAAACAGCTACTGCATGCTGGGCTTAATACCTAGGTGATGGGTTGACAGGTGCAGCAAACCACCATGGCGCACGTTTACCTTAGTAACAAATCTGCACATCCTGCACATATACCCCGAACTTAGAAACGAAACGAAATAAAAGAAAACGAAAAAGCAGTAACAAAACGCTAAAGGCAAAATAAAGTTTCAAACTCAGAAAGTGACAGACCAATGTTTGGTTCAAATCATGGGTTCTCAACCCAGGTGCCATAAGGTCAGAATAAAAAATTTGATTATGTATTGTAAATAAGACATGCAGCAAATGACCAGAGAGATTATTCTCAACATATGTGTGTCTTCTAATTCAATGGTGACGCTATCTACAGGGACATACCATTAGATTCCAAAGGGCCGAGTCCCGCCAGACAGGCCTCCCACACTAATAACAATGGGAAGCCCCACGTTGTTTTACCTGTGCTTCTCAGCAACTGGCTATAAATCAGGTTGCCACCACTCCCAGATTTAGTTGCATTCATTTGCTGGAAGAGCTCACAGCACGCAGGTAAACACTTACATTTGCCGTTGTATTTTAGCGGACATTGCAAAAAGTTCAGAAATAAATGTGGGGCCCGGCATGTGGGGAGGGGCGCACTACCTTCCAGGAAGTGTTATCCAGAAGCCCTCTGAACCCAGTCCTTTTGGGTTTTTATGGAGATCTCCTTCTATAGTCATGATGGGTTAAACCATAGGCTATTGGTGATCAGCTCCACCCGAGGCTCTCAACCCTCCCTGGAAATTGGGGTTGAGGCTTTGCCATTCTCAGTCTGACTCAAAGAATTTACCCAAACGGAATTTTAAAACAGATGAGCATAACTGGAATCTTAATTACATGATTGGATTATCTGGAGCCACACCTTGATATTCCTAACCCGAGCACCCTCATCCAACGAATGCTCCACCCAACTGGCTCCCAAGTCTCTACGTGGTTCCAGAGCAAAAGAATGTTTATACAACGCATATCTCCACCTTTTCTTCAAAGTCTTTTCGTTTACACGGAAAGACTTCTTAAACTGCCATGCATCAGAGTCAGGGGGAGGTCTTGTTACAACACAGATCTGTGCATCTCCGGGGTTTGATTGTGGCAAGGATGCTGCTGGTGTCAAAACCACAACGTGGGAACCACAGAACCACTAGTTGGTTTTCAGTGTTTCAGTGCATACAATTCCTAATATATCTGGCCAAGAAAACTTGTAAGTTCTTAGATTGTCCCAAAGGTGGCGCATGAAATCAAAGCAGGAGAACAGTTTCCTACCAGGTGTAGCCTGGGAAAGTTGGGGGTGACTGATGGAAAGGAGGAGTGAAGCTCCGCCCTTTCCGCTGCTAGGCTGCGCCCGAGGCTATTTAAACCCACCCTGGCTGGCCTGTACTCAGATCTTCGCGGAGCGGATCAGCGGCCGGAGCGTTTGGCGGACTCTGCGTGGACTTGGAGCTCACAGCGTCTTGCGACTTGGAAGCGGATTCAGAGGACAGGACAGAACACGTGGGCAAGTGAATCTCTGTCTGTCTGTCTGTCTCATTGGTTGGTTGATTTCCATTTTCTTAAGGGGCACATACCTCACACCGCACACACACAAACACACACCGCACACACAAACACACACACACACACACACGCGCGCACACACACACTCCTTCCTTCTTCGAGTTAGAAAATTGGTACGGGCCCCTGGGAGCTGCAGGTTTCCTAATCATGTCTGCACCTAAGAACAGTAGGGTCTTGTCTGGCTCTTCTTATGAACGGTCCCCCAGCCCGGACTCCCCAAGGTCCATGCGAGCCTCACCCAGCTTCTTCCTCTCCCCTCTCAGAATCTCTTGCTTAAGGGGAAGCTCCTCACCAGGGATCCGGAGCTACCATTCACCATCCCCTAGGGCTTCACCACACTCACCTCTGTCATCACCAGAATCCCACAAGCTCCCATTTCCCTGTCCTCACCGTGATGGGCAATCAATGAAGACATTGGGCTCTCCCGTGTCCTCCTCTGAGGATTCCTCAGAGTCCCCACGTTCATCAATAATATACCACATGCTCTTACTGCCATCAGCCAGCAGCTCACCCCCAGCTCTTGGGGGGTCTCCTTTGTCTCCCAGCTACTCTCCAAACAACCCCAGATTTCAGCTGGAGTCAGCCCCCCACACCCAGGAATCACCTACAAACTCATGAGCCTCACGGTGCTCCACCCCTGTGTCTTTCATCTCTTCACCCCCAGGCCTCAGGGACTCTCCTGTGGCTCCCAGTTACTCTCCAGCCATCCCCAGGTTCCTGTGGGAGTCAGCCCCATGCACCCAGGAGTCCCCCAGAGACTCACAGGTCTCGGGAGAATATGAGCGGTCCCCCAGCCCTGACTCCTCAAGATTCATGCCTGCCTCACCCAGCTTCTCCCTCTCCCCTCCCAGAAACTCAGACCCAAGGGGCAGCTCCTCACCAGAGATGTGGAAGTATTCTACATCACCACGCATGGCTTCACCACTCTCCTTACCATTAGAACACTCAGTAATCATATGAATTGTGCAGTTGTTGTTTTGCTTAACTCTTTTTGTTTGTTTATGCTTGGGGTTTTATTGTTGTTGTTTCACTTTTCTCCCATCTCTTCCTGACTTGGTCAAATCCAAAGGAATGTTCCAAATTGTGGGGAGCAAGGCCTCTGAATTGGCTAAAACTCCTATGGCTGCAAAAAAACAAACAAATAAACAACAACAAAAAGCATTCCAGTTAGCAGAAATTATTTTTTAAACCTTTTTTTTTACGTAACTGGTCTCATCTACATAAAAATGTCATCCTTTTGCTAGCCAAGGCCAAACTGAAGGAGTAGTGGTGGTGACCCAATGTGAAGATTCTGCCCTGTTCACTACAGAAACCTGAGTTTGGTTCCTAAGTCTAGTTCTTTCTGTTTGATATTTGTGTTACTTTTAAAACGTCAGCAGTTTGTCCCAGCTATGATGTGGTAGTAAAAGATTCAAAAGGGGTTTCTTTACAGGTTCCATGATTAAAAGCTTAATTTAAAGCAAATTTCTTTTTTTTTAAATTATACTTTAAGTTCTGGGGTACATGTGCAGAACATGCAGGTTTGTTACATAGGTATACACATGCCATGGCGGCTTGCTGCATCCATCAACCCATGATCTACATTAGTTATTTCTCCTAATGCCATCCCTCTCCTAGCCCCCCACGCTGACAGGCCCTGGTGTGTGATGTTCCCCTTGCTGTGTCCATGTGTTCCCATTGTTCAACTCCAAGTTATGAGTGAGAACATGTGGTGTTTGGTTTTCTGTTCTTGTGTTAGTTTGCTGAGAATGATGCTTTCCAGCTTCATTCATGTCCCAGCGAAGGACGTGGATTCATCCTTTTTATGGCTACATAGTATTCCATGGTGTATATATGCCACATTTTCTTTATCCAGTCTATCATTGGTGGGCATTTGGGTTGGTTCCAAGTCTTTGGTTTTGTGAAAAGTGCCGCCATAAACAGACAGGTGCATGTGTCTTTATATTAGAATGATTTATAATTTTGGGGGTATTTACCCAGTAATGGGATTGCTGGGTCAAATGATATTTCTAGTTGTAGATCCTTGAGGAATTGTCACACTGTCTTCCACAATGGTTGAACTAATTTATATTCCCACCAACTGTGTAAAAGCGTTCCTATTTCTCCACATCCTGTCCAGCATCTGTTGTTCCCTGATTTTTTAACGATAGCCATTCTAAGTGCTGTGAGATTGTATCTCATTGTGGTTTTGATTTCCATTTCTCTAATGACCAGTGATGATGTGCTTTGCTTCACATGTTCGTTGGCTGTATAAATGTCTTCTTTGGTAAGTGTCTGTTCATATCCTTTGTCCACTTTTTGATGGGGTTGTTTGTTTTTTTTTTCTTGTAAGTTTGTTCTTTGTAGATTCTGCATATTAGCCCTTTGTCAGATGGATAGATTGCAACAATTTTCTCCCATTCTCTGGGTTGCCTGTTCACTCTGATAATAGTTTCTTTTGCACTGCAGATACTGTTTAGTTTAGTTAGATCCCATTTGTCAATTTTGGCTTTTGTTGCCATTGCTTTTTGTGTTCTGGTGATGAAGTCTCTGCCTATGGCTCTGTCCTGAATGGTATTGCCTAACACAAGGACATTTATGTGCCTGAGTGCTATACCACCCACAGTAATTTATAGATTTATTGCTATCCTCATTAAGCTACCATTGACTTTCTTCATAGAATTAGAAAAACTACTTTAAATTTCATATGGAACCATAAAAGAGCCCACATAGCCAAGACAATCCTAAGCAAAACAACAAAGCTAGAGGCATCACAGTACCTGACTTCAAATTATTCTACAAGACTACAGTAACCAAAACAGCATGGGGCTGGTACCAAATCAGATCTATAGACCAATGGAACAGAACAGAGGCCTCAGAAATGACACCACACATCTAAAAGCATCTGATCTTTGACAAACCTGACAAAAACAAGCAATGGGTAAAGGATACCCTATTTAATAAATGATCTTGGGAAAACTGGCTAGCCTTATGCAGAAAACTGAAACTGGGCCACACCCATACACCTTAAACAAAAATTAAGTAATATGGATGAAAGAGTTAAATGCAAGACCTAAAACAATAAAAAATCTAGAAGAAACCTAGGCCAACAACCTCAGGGGAAATGTACCTGTAATGAAATGCATGGTACAAACACGCATTCCTTGCTTCCTTGAGTGGGTGACGTTGATGGCTAGTCCAATCACTCCAGCCACACCCTTGCAAACGTGGCTGGTTCCTTTTTGAGCCAGCTTGGCTTTGCCCAGCATGCACAAGTCAGTGCAACAACTGTGACACAAATGGAGCCATACAGAGAAAATGAGCAGCAGGCTCAGGAGCAGGGTGTGCGCTGCCTTGGGGGCTCCAGTCCATGCCTCAGGGCTCATATGACACTGCGGGCTTCTTGGGTGCAAAGAGGCAGACCACAGGCCATCTTCAGGAGGCCTTTATTTTGAAGTGCAGAAAGCAGCCAGGATTACCACCCGTGGGACTCGGCCTTTTGTGACCCTGGCCTGACAGAGTTTGGCCCAAGGCAGGACAAGCTCACTCAGAGCAACGTGTCAGTACCTGGGGCCTGTGCATGCCAGTCAAGGCCAAGCTGGCTCAAAGAGCAACCAGCCACCTCTGCAAGGGTGTGCCTGGAGCAGGTGGACCAGCCACCAACCTCACACACTGAAGGAAGCCAGGATGGCCAGGTTTCCACAGCCTGAGTGGCTGCCTCCTGATGGCTGATGGAGCAGAGGCCTGAGGAAAAGCAGGTGGCATGTTTAACTCTTTAATCTATCTTAAGTTAATTTTTGTATAAAGCAGTTGGCACCGGTCCATGCCTCGGGGTTCATATGGCACTGTGGGCCACAGAAGGCTGAGTCCCCTGGGTGGTAATCCTGCCTGCTTTCTGCACTTGAACATAAAGTCCTCCTCAAGATGGCCTGTGGTCTACTTCTCGGCCCCACCTTTAGGGTAGAAGAACTGATGTACCACGTCTGACAGTGAGTGAGGTTGGCGGCTGGTCCACCTGCTCCTGGCACACCTTGCAGAGGTGGCTGCTTGCTCTTTGAGCCAGCTTGGCCTTGCCTGGCATGCACAAGCCTCACTGCAACAAGTGTACAACAAATGGAGCCATAAAGAGGAAATGATCAGCAGGCTCAGGAATGGGGCGTGCACTGCCTTTGTGGCTCCAGTCCATGCCTCAGGGCTCGTATGGCACTGTAGGCTTCTTGGTCGCCAAGAGGCAGACCACAGACGGTCTTGAGGAGGACTTTATGTTCAAGTGCAGAAAGCAGCCAGGATTAGCACCCAGGGGACTCGGCCTTCTGTGGCCCTGGCCAGAGGTAGAATTTGGCCCAACACACTACAAGCTGACTTGGAACGGCATATAGGTAGCTGGGGCCTGTGCATGCCAGGCAAGGCCAAGCTGGATCAAAGAGCAAGCAGCCACCTCTGCAAGGGTGTGCCTGGAGCAGGTGGAGCAACCACCAACCTCACCCACTCAAGGAAGCAGGGATGGCCAGATTCCTACAGCCTGAGGGGCTGCCTCCTGATGGCTGATGGAGCAGAGGCCTAAGGAAAAGCAGATAGCACTGTGGCCCTACCTGTAGGGTAGAAGAACTGATGTAACCCGACCGGCAGCAAGTCAGGTTGGTGGCTGGTCCACCAGCTCCAGGCACACCCTTGCAGAGGTGGCCGGTTGCTTTTTGAGCCAGCCTGGCCTTCCTCAGTATGCAGTAGTCAGTGCAACAACTGTGACACAAATGGAGCCACACAGAGAAAATGAGCAGCAGGCTCAGGAGCAGCGTGTGCGCTGCCTTGGGGGCTCCAGTCCATGCCTCAGGGCTCATATGGCACTGCGGGCTTCTTGGTTGCAAAGAGGCAGACCACAGGCCATCTTCAGTAGGTCTTTATGTTGAAGTGCAGAAAGCAGCCAGGATTACCACCCGTGGAACTCGGCCTTTTGTGACCCTGGCCTGACAGAATTTGGCCCAAGGCAGGACAAGTTCACTCAGAGCAACGTGTCTGTACCTGGGGCCTGTACATGCCAGGCAAGGCCAAGCTGGTTCAAAGAGCAACCAGAGCATCCATTCTGGTGGATGAGCCAACCACATGGCCAGCTTCTGGGTGTGGGCACAGTGCCACATCTTCCATCACTTTCTGATATATCCCACCAGCACTGAAGAGACAGCCTGGAGAGAGTGCAAGAGGAAGGCTGAGAAGGATGAGATGGTGAGTGCTGGCTTCTTTCTGACCCTCAGCACACCCCCAGGTGGTGACCATCAACCTTTAGGGGTGGGAGAGCAAGATTGATGGCTTCAAATACTTCCCCAAGAAGATGGACACAGGCCACTCAGCTCAACCTCACAGCCAATGAGTTGACATGCAAGCAGATGACAGTGACAGGCTTTTAGAAAGAGCTTCAGAAGGCGGCCAGTTTTTCTTCGGCCTCAGCCAGGCCTTGGAACTTGACTAGGCCATCCACTTCACCAGAGATGCCTTCAAGAACATCAGTGAGCTCCTTGCCAATCCGTCCAGGAAGGACCTGGACCCAGCCATGGACCTGTTAGTGCTGTCTCAGGGACACCAGACCAACATCCTGGACATCATCCTCATATACAAGGAAGCTCTTACGACAGTCACGGAGAACAGGCAACATGTGGCAGAAGGGAAGACAGAGGTACAGAGGCTGATGGCATCATTATCACAGGAACAGGATTTCTTTGGCCACTTTGGCTGAAATTCACCACTTCTATCCAATCCACTCAAGCGAGAGACTTGAAATCACAGATGGAACATTTCTTGCAACAAGAGATACTATTTTTTCAAAAAGTCACCTAAAATTTGATAGTGTTGAATGACTAGCTATTCGAGTGTGGACTTTTTCCAGTGCACGGGTACTTTCTACAGCAGAATGATAACAGTATCAAAGGGCTGGTGCCAGCTATCGGTGGTAGTACAAGGATGACTTTGTGCTCAACTGAAACCCAGGTGAATATAGACTTGTGTAGGAAAGTGTTAATATGGTGATAGAATAGAAACAGTAGCAAATGAACTAAATCATACTATGAATGCCTACACTACCATTATAACTTTTTGAAGAATGATAATACCACTTACTTTATTGCCTTTTGAAGTAGGAATATTTTAGTGGATATGCTATAGACCAGAAACCCTGTAAAGAACCCCAAAGAAGCTGGCTGGATAAAGCCTGCTATGGATGTCTTTATACTCAAAGACTGATGAGGCAATTCGAATATGTGTCCCCACCAAATCTCATGTTGAGTTATGCTTCCTAATGTTGGAGGTGGATCCTGGTATAAGGTGATTGAATCATGAAGGCAAATTTCTCATGAGTGGTTCAGCACCATCCCCTTGGTACTGTCCTCACAATCATGAGTGACTTCTCGTGAGATCTGGCCACTGAAAACTCTATATCACTCCCTACTCTCCGTGATTTCCTCTTGCCATGTGAGACAATTCACTCTTTCATTACCTTGCACAATGATTGAAAGATTTCTGAGGCCCCCCAGAAGCAGAAGCACTAAGCTTCCTGTCCACTCTGCAGAACCATGAGCCAATTAAACCTCTTTTTCAAAATAAATCTTACCAAAAATGGCAAATGAGGACTGGAGCATTCCTATAAAGATACCTGAAAATGTGGAAGCAACTTCGGAACTGGGTAATGGGTAGAGGTTGGAAGAGTTTGGAGGGCTCCAAAGAAGACAGACAGATGAGAACATTTTTGGACCATCTTAGAGACTGGTTAAATGGCTGTGACAAGAATGCTGACAAAAACATGGACAGTGAAGGCCAGGCTGAGGGGGTCTCAGATAAAAATAAGAAGCTTTCTGGAAAATGTCTCTCTTTTGGATATAGAAAGCTTACACAATGCCTGTACCATCATTGTACCTTAGACACAGTGAACTTGCTTTTTATTTCAGAGACTCGTAGGCAAAAGAGAATGTAGCCTTGACCCAGATGAGACTTTGGACTTTGTAACTTTGAGTTAATGCTGAAATGAGTTAAGACTTTGGGAGACTGCTGGCAAGGCATGACTGTATTTTGCAATGTGAGAAGGACATGAGATTTGTGGGGTCAGGGACAGAATAATACGGTTTTTCTCTATGCCCCTTCCAAAACTCATGTGAAAGTACACTCCCTAATGTTAGAGTCGGGGCCTAGGTGGAAAAAGCTTTAATCATAAAGGAGTGGGAGTGGATCCTTCACAAATGGCAAAGCACCAAGCCCTTAATGCCATCCTCCTGATAGTGAGTGAGTTCTCATGAGATCTAGTAGTTTAAAAGGCTGTGGAACCTCTTTCCTCTCTCTGTCTTGTTCCAACTTCTGCCATATGAAACATGTCATTGCCGCTTGGATTTCCGGTGTGGTTAGGAGGGACCTGATCAGTGTGGGCCTGGTCAGTGGACCTAGGTCAGTGAGGACTATTTAGTGGGATCGTGGTCAGCAGGGGTCTGCTTAGAGAGGGTCTCATTAGTGGGGTCTAGTAGTGGGGTTTTGGTGAGTGGGGACCTATTGGCTGCCAGTTGTTTGGTGTCTGGTCAGTGCAAACCTGGGCTGTGGGGCTTGATCAGTGGAGACCTGGTCAGCTGGGGCTTAGTGCTGGCCTGGTCAGCATGGGCTGGGGCACTGGTGACCAGGTCAAGGGGTGCTATTCAGTGGAGGACTGGGCACATGGGACCTAGTCAGCAGACCCTGGTGGGCATGTCCTCATCAGTGAGGCCCTTGTCAGTGGGGCCCTGGTCAGGGCAGCCTTGTCAGCGGGACCTAATCTGTAGCGTCCTGGTCAGAGACGACTTGGTCAGTGGTGACTTTTGCAGCACTGGTCTACAGGGTGACCTGGTCAGCGGGGATCTCAGCATTTGGTGCCAGTTCAGTGGGGTCTACTCACTAGGGTCCCAGTCAGGGGCATCTGGTGATCTTAGGCCTGGTTATTAGGGGCCTGATCAGTGGCAACCTGTTCCCTGGAGGTCTGGTCAGTGGGGCCTCATCTTTGGGGCCAGGGAATGAGGTCATGATCAGTGGAACTTGATCAGTGAGGCCTTGTCAATAATGACCTACTCAGTGAGGACTTGTCAGTAAGGACTTGGTCCGTGAGGCCTTGTCAGTAAGGTCCTGGTCGGTGGAGTCCTTGTCATTGTGTGCCTGGCAGTGGGGGCCTTGTTAGTGGGGCCTGGTCATGAGGGTCTAATCAGTGAGGGTGTCATCAGGGAGGACCTGATGTGCGGGGTCTGGTCAGCAGGGACCTGGTCAATGTGGGCTGCTGAGCACTGCTTGGATAAGCCAGGTGCAATGTGCATTATTGAAGGCCCTGTGGACAGCTGGGATAGCCCAGTGATGCCCAAGGGCCTAGTCAAAAGTGGACAAAGCACGTATTTGGATGGACCTGGGAGATCCTGCTCAGAGATTCTGACAGGACAAAGGTAAAGGAAGGGCCAGAGTGGCTGGAGAGATGGTCACAGTCTATGGGCTGCACAGGATGGAGGAGGCCAGGGAAAAGGCAGGGTGGGCAGTTGGGGTTCAGGGAGAGGCAGGTGCATGCTGGGAGGTCAGACCCTGTGAAGGCTTTGGGGGCGTCAGGTTGGGTAGGCTCCAGGCACTCTCACTCACATAGGATTCCAGAACACTGCTACAAGGCTCTGAGTGTTTGTCCCTCACATAGGATTCCAGAACACTGCTGCCATTGTCTGAATGTTTGTCCCCCACATAGGATTCCAGAAGCCTGCTGCTGGGGTCTGAATGTTTGTCCCCCATCTAGGATTCCAGAACACTGCTGCGAGGGTCTGAATGTCTGTCCCTCACATATGATTCTAGAACATTGATGCTAGGGTCTGTATGTTTGCCCTTAACATATGATTTCAAAACACTGCTCCTGGATTCTGAATGTTTGTCCTTCACATAGGAATACAGAACACTGCTGCTGGAGTCTGAATGGTTGTCACTCACATAGAATTCCAGAACACTGCTGTGAGGATCTGAATGTTTGACCCTCACATGGGATTCCAGAACACTGCTGCGAGTGTCTAAATGTCTGTCCCTCACACAGGATTCCCGAACAATGTTACGAGGTTCTGAATGTTTGTCCCTAACATAGGATTCCAGAGCACTCCTGCTGTGCTCTGAATGCTTCTCCCTCACATAGGATTCCAGAACACTGCTACGAGGGTCTGAATGCTTATCCCTCATATAGGATTCCAGAACACTTCTGCTGTGGTCTGAATGTTTGTTCCTCACATAGGATTCCAGAATACTCCTGCCGTGGTCTGAATGTTTGTCCCTCACATAGGATTCCAGAACATTCATGCTGGGGTCTCAATATTTCCCTTAACATAGGATTTCAGAACACTGCCCTTGGGGTCTGAATGTTTGTCGCTCACATAGGATTACAGAACACTGCTGCTGGAGTCTGAATGTTTGTCAGTCACATAGAATTCCAGAACACTGCTACAAGGGTGTGACTATTTCTCCCTCACCTAGTATTCCAGAACACTGTTGCAAGGGTCTGAATGTTGGTCCGTCATATAGGATTCCAGAACACTGCTGCTGTGGTCTGAATGTTTGTCCCTCACATAGAATTCCGGAACACTGCTACAAGGGTCTGAATGTTTGTCCTTCACATACCATTCCAGAACACTGCTGCCGTGGTCTGAATGTATGTCCCTCACATAGGATTCCAGAACACTGCTACTAGGTTCTGAATGTTTTTCCCACACCTAGGATTCCAGAACACTTCTGCTGGTGTCTGAATGGTTGTTCCTCACATATGATTCCAGGACACTGCTATGAGAGTCTTAATGTTTGTCCTTCACGTAGGATTCTAGAACACTGCTCCCGTGGTCTGAATGTTTGTCCTTCACATAGCATTCCAGAACACTGCTGCTGGGGTCTGAATGTCTGCCCCTCAAATCAGATTCCAGAGCACTGCTGCTGGGGTTTGAATGTCTTTCCCTCACATAGAATTCCAGAACACGGCTGGGAGGGTCTGAATGTTTGTCCCTCACATGGGATACCAGAACACTGTTGCGAGGGTCTAAATGTCTCTCCCTCACATAAGATTTCAGGACACTGCTACGAGGTTCTGAATGTTTGTCCCTCACATAGGATTCCAGAACACTGCCACGTGGGTCTGAATGTTTGCCCTCACATAGGATTCCAGAACACTACTGCTGGGGTCTGAATGTTTGACCCTCACATAGGATTCCAGAACACTCCTGCTGTGGTCTGAAAGTTTGTTCATCACATAGGACTCCAGAACACTCCTAAGAGGGTATGAATGTCCCTCACATAGTATTCCAGAACACTCCTTCTGTGGTCTGAATGTTTGTTCCTCACATAGGATTCGAGAACACTCCTGCTGTGGTCTGAATGTTTGTCCCTTACCTAGGATTCGAGAACATTCACGCTGGGATGTAAATGCTTGCCCTTAACATAGGATTTCAGAACACTGCTCCTGGGGTCTGAAAGTTTGTCCCTCACATAGGATTCCAGAACTCTCCTGCTGTGGTCTGAAAGTTTGTACCGCACATAGGATTCCAGAACACTGCTGCTGTGGTCGGAATGTTTTTCTGTCACATAGGATTCCAGAACACTGCGGCTGGGTTCTGAATGTTTGTCCCTCACATAGGATTTCAGAACGCTGCTACGAGGGTCTGATTGTTGGTCCCTCACATAGGATTCCTGAACACTGCTGCTGGGCTCTGAATGTTTGTCCCTCACATTGGATTGCAGAACACTACTGCTATGGTCTGAACGTTTGTCCGTCACATAGGATTCCAGAACGCTCCTGCTGTGGTCTGAATGTTTGTCTGTCACATAGGATTCCAGAACACTGCGGCTGGGCTCTGAATGTCCCTGACATAGGATTCCAGAACATTGCTATGAGGGTCTGAATGGTTGTCTTTCACATAGCATTCCAGAACACTGCTACGAGGGTCTGAATGTTGGTCCCTCACACAGGATTCCAGAACCCTCCAGCTGGGGTCTGAATGTTTGTCCCTCACAAAGGATTCCAGAACACTGCTATGAGGGTCTGAATATTTGTCCCTCACATAGGATTCCAGAACACACCTGCTGTGGTCTGAATGGTTGTCCCTCACAAAGGATTCCAGAACACTCCTGCTGTGATCTGAATGGTTGTCCCTCACATAAGATTCCGGAACACTTCTGCTGTGGTACGAATGTTTGTGTCTCACGTAGGATTCCAGAACACTGCTACGAGGGTCTCAATGTTTGCCCCTCACGTAAGATTCCAGAACACTGCTGCTGGGGTCTGAATGCTTGTCCCTCACATACGATTACAGAACAGTGTTGCTGGGGTGTGAATGTTTGTCCCTCACAAAGGATTCCAGAACACTGCCATGAGGGTCTGAATATTTGTCCCTCACATAGGATTCCAGAACACTCCTGCTGTGGTCTGAATGGTTGTCCCTCACATAGGATTCCAGAACACTCCTGCTGTGGTCTGAATGGTTGTCCCTCACATAAGATTCCAGAACACTTCTGCTGTGGTACGAATGTTTGTGTCTCACGTAGGATTCCAGAACACTGCTACGAGGGTCTCAATGTTTGTCCCTCACATAAGATTCCAGAACACTGCTGCTGGGGTCTGAATGCTTGTCCCTCACATACGATTACAGAACACTGTTGCTGGGGAGTGAATGTTTGTCCCTCACATAGGATACCAGACCACTGCTGCTGAGGTCTCAATGTCTGTCCCTCAAAAAAGGATTCCAGAACACTGTTACTAGGGTCTGAATTTTTGTTCCTCACTTAAGACTGCAGAACACTGCTTCGAGGGTCTAAATGTCTGTCCTTCACATAGGATTCCAGAACACTCCTTCTGGCGTCTGAATGTTTGTCCCTCACATAGGATTCCAGAGCACTCCTGCTGTGGTCTCAATGTTTGTTAATCACATAGGATTCCAGAACACTGCTACAAGGGTCTGAATGTTTGTCCCTCACATAGGATTCCAGAATACTCCTGCTATGGTCTTAATGCTTGTCCCTCACATAGGATTCCAGAACATTCATGTTGGGGTCTGAATGTTTGCCCTTATCATAGGATTTCAGAACAGTGTTCCTGGGGTCTGAATATTTGTCCTTCATATAGGATTTAAGAACACTCCTGCTTTTGTCTGAAAGTTTGTCCCTCACATAGGATTCCAGAACTCTCCTGCTGTGGTCTGAAAGTTTGTCCTTCACATAGGATTCCAGAACACTGCTGCTGTGGTTTGAATATTTGTCCCTCACATAAGATTCCAGAACACTGCTAGGAGGGTCTGAATGTTTGTCCCTCACATAGGATTCCTGAGCATTGTTGCCGTGGTCTGAATTTTTGCCATTCACATAGGATTCCAGAACAGTGCTACGAGGGTCTGAATGTTTGTCCCTCACATAGGATTCCAGAACACTTCTGCTGGTATCTGAATGTTTGTACCTCACATAGGATTCCAGAACACTGCTGCTGGGGTCTGAACGTCTGTCCCTCACATAGGATTCTAGAACACTGCTGTTGGGGTTTGAATGTCCCTCACATAGAATTCCAGAACACTGCTGCGAGTGTCTGAATGTTTGTCCTGCAGATGAGATTCTAGAACACTGCTGCGAGGGTCTAAATGTCTGTCCCTGACATAACATTCCAGCACACTGCTACGAGGTTTTGAAATGTTTGTCCCTCACATAGGATTACAGAGCACTCCTGCTGTGGTCTGAATGTTTGCCCCTCACATAGGATTCCAGAACATTCCTGCTGTGGTCTGATTGTTCCTCACATAGGATTCTGGAACACTCCAGCTGGCTTCTGAGTGTTTGTCCCTCACATAGGATTCCTGAAGACTGCTGCTGTCACTATAGTCGTTGCGAGTGTCTGAATGTTTGACCTTCACCAAACACTAAATATCCTGCCCCTTTAGTCTTGGACTTTCCAGCCTCCAGATCTGTGAGCAATATCTCTGTTGTTTATGAATTACTCAGTCTAAAGTATTTTGTTATAGTAGCCTAAAGAGACTAAGAGAGCATCACCTGCCCTGTCACCTCATCACCGCATTACTAAAGCTATACTAACAGCAGTCACTTTTAGTGGGTGCTTCATGCATGAGAATAAAGGGAAAAAATTGCAAGGCATACTAAAATCCAAAAAAAGAAAAAAATATAATTTGTGTCAACAGAGCAAGCTTCAGAACCAGACAAAGATATGATTTTGGAATTTTTTTTAAACCTCTGGAGAATATGCTAAGGGCCTAATGAATGAACTAGACAGCATTCAAGTATAGATGGGTAATGTAATCAGAAAGACAGACATCGTAAGAACCTTCAACATAATGTAGTGGTAAAAAATGTGGTAAATAACTGAAGAATACCTCTGATGGCTTATTAGTAGACTGGACTCAGCTGAGTAAAGAATCTCTGAGCTTGAGGATTTATCATCAGAAACTTCGAAAACTAAAGAAAAGAAACACTGAAAAGAACAGAAGGTGATATCCAAGACTGTGGGACAACTACAAAAGGTGAAACAGAGTAATGAGAATACCAGGAGGAGGAGAAGAAATAGAAGAAAGTTCTGCAACAACCATGTCTGAGAACTTCCAGTATTAATGTCAGACACCAAACCAAAGATCCAGGAAGCTCTGAGAACACCAGGCAGAATAAATGCCAACAACCTACACTTGGACATATAATTTTCAAACTATATGAAATAAAAAATAAAGGAAAACTCTGAAAGAAACCAGAGGTGGGGCAGAAAACACCTTACCTACAGAGACACAAAGATAAGAACTGCATTCAACATTGCAGAAACTGTGAAAGCAAGAAGACAGTGAAATGAAAAAATCAAAATGTTGACAGAAAAAACCCACCAACCTAAGTTTCTGTACCCACTGAAAACACCCTTCAAAAGTGAAGGAGAATTAAGGCCTTCCTCAGAAAAATAAAAATTCAAGAAACTTGTTGCCAGGAGACCTGTCTTGCAAGAAATGTTAAATGAAATTCTTTAGAGGGAAACAAAAGATATATAACTGAAACCTGGATCAACATTTTTTTAAAAAGAGCATTAAAGAATTGTGGTACAATAAAAACCTATGTATTTATTCTTAATTGATCTGACCAAGAAGTTCATAGACAATAACAAATACACACAGATAGATTATGTATGCTTAAACACAAGTGAAATGAGTAACACTAATACAAGGAATAGAATGGAAGGATGGGAGGGAGGAATTGTGGTACAATAAAAACATGTATTTATTCATAATTGATCTGACCAATAAGTTTGTAGATAATAATAAATACACACAGATAGATTATGTATGCTTATACACAAGTGAAATAAGGAACAATAATACAAGGAATGGAATGGAAGGATGGGAGGGAGGAATCAGGTGTTTTCTTTGTTAAGCAGGTAGTCACCCGTGAAGTGGGATAGTGTTATCTGAAAGTGGACTTTAATTGGTTGTAAATGTATATTGAGGAATTAGGTGTGTTCTTTGTTAAGCAGGTAGTCTTATTTGTGGGATAGTGGGATAGTGTTATTTGAAAGTGGACTTGAATTTGTTATAAATGTTACTGAGGAATTAGGTGTTTTGTTTGTTAAGCAGGTAGTCTTATTCGTGGGATAGTGGGATAGTGTTATTTGAAAGTGGACTTGAATTTGTTGTAAATGTATATCGCAAATTCTGTGGCAACTAGTTAAAAAAAGTTTTAAAAAGAGAAGTACATGCTAAGAAAGACAGGGAAAATGTAGTCATCTAAAATCATCAATGAAAACTGCAAAAGGCAGAAAAAGACTGGTAGACAAAAGAATGGAGACTGAGGAGAATGAATAGAAAACAGTAACAAATATAGTAGATATTAATCTAATGATATCAATAATCACTTTGAATGCTAATGGTATGAATGTACCAATTCAAAGATAGAGATTGTCAGAGTCTATCAAAAGACTTGATTCACTGCACTTTGCTTTATTGTGTTTTGTGACCATGTGTTTTACATATTGAAGGTTTGTGGCCACCCTGCAATAAGCAGGTCTGACTGGCACCATTGTTCCTACAGCACGTGCTCACTTCACGTCTCTGTGTCACATTTCGGTCATTCTCACAGTATTTTAAGATTTTTATTATTGAATCGTTATGGTGATCTGTAATGAGTGATCTTTAATGCTACTGTTGTCATTGTTTTGGGAACCACAAATCACACCAGGATAAGACAGCAAACAATTGACAAATGCGTTTGTTCTGACTGCCCCACCAACGGGCCATTTCTCTTTCTCTCTCTTTTTCTCAGGCTTCTTTTTATTAATATTAAAATGTGGCCAATTAATAACCCTACAATAGCCTCTGTATGTTCAAGTGAAAGAAGAGTTGTATGTCTGTCACTTTAAACCAAAAGAAAGAAATAATTAAGCTTAGTGATTAAGGCATGCTGTAAGCAAGACAGGCCAGTAGCTAGACCTCATGCAACAAACACTTAGCCAAGTTGTGAATGCAAAGGAAGTGTTCTGGAAAGAAATTTAAAGTATTACTCCAGTGAATACATGAATGATAAAAAGCTAAACAATCTTGCTGCTGTTATGAAGAAAGTTTAATTGATCTAGATAGAAGATAAAAAAAAATCCATTAAGCCTAAGCCTAACTCTCTTTTTACTTTTTTCTTTGTTTTTGAGACAGAGTTTCATTTTTCTTGCCCAAGCTGGAGTACAATAGCGTGATCTTGGCTCATCGCAACCTCTGCCTCCCAAGTTCAAGCTCTCCTGCCTCAGCATTCTGAGTAGCTGGGATTACAGGCATGCACCACCACACCTGGCTAATTTTTTGTATTTTTAGTAGAGACGCGGTTTCTCCACGTTGGTTAGACTGGTGTCGAACTCCCGACCGCAGGTGATCTGCCTGTCTCGGCCTCCCAAAGTGCTAGGATTACAGGTGTGACAGCCACCACACCCGGCCTCCCTTCAATTCTATGAAGACTTAGAGAGGTGAGGCAGCTGCAGAAGAAGAGTCTGAAGCTAGAAGAGCTTGTTTCTTGAAGTTTAAGGAAAAAAGTCTTCTTCATAACATAAAAGCGCAAGATAAAGCAGCAAGTACTGATGGAAAAGCTGCAGAAAGCTATCTGGAAGATAATTGATTAAGATGGCTACACTAAACAGATTTGCAATGAAGACAAAACAGCATTCTACTAGAAGGAGATGCCATCCAGGATGTTCCCAGCTAGAGAGGAGTTGATGCCTGGATTTAAGGCTTCAAAGGACATGCTGACTCTTTTGTTAAGGCCTAATGCAGTTGGTGATGTTAACATGAAACCAATGATGATTTACTATTCTGAAAATCCAAGGGCCCTGAAGAATTATGATAAAACACAGCTCTGCCTGTACTCTACAAATGGGAACAAAGCCTGGATGACAGACTATCGGTTTACAAATACGGTTTACTGAATATCTTAAGCCCACTGTCGACAACTACCGCTCAAGAAATAAGATTCCTTTCAAAGTATTACCACTCACTGACAATGCCGCTGGTACTCAAGGGCTTTTACAGAGATGTATAAAGAGCTGAATATTGTTTTCATGCCTACTAACCCAACATTCATTCTGGTGCCCTTGGATCAAAGAATAATTTCAACTTTCAAGTCTTATCACTTAAAAAATATATTTCATAAAGCTATAGCTTCTCTAGCAAGTGATTCCTTTGATGGATCTGGGCAAAATAATTGAAAACCTACTGGAAAGGATTCACCATTCTAGACGCCATTGAGAACATTCATGATTTAAAAAAGAAGATCAAAATAGCAACATTAGGAGAAGTTGGGGCTGGGCTTGGTGGCTCACGCCTGTAATCCCAGCACTTTGGGAGGCCAAGGCACGTGGATCATGAGGTCAGGAATTTGAGACCAGCCTGGCCAACATAGTGAAATCCTGTCTATACTATAAACAACAAAAAAATTAGCTGGGCCTGGTCGGGGGTGACTGTAATCCCAAACACTTGGGAGGCTGAGGCAGGAGAATTGCTTGAACACGGGAGGTGGAGGTTGCAGTGAGCTGAGATCGCATCACTGCACTCCAGCCCAGGCAAGACTTCATCTCAAAAAAATAAAAGAGAGAGAGAAAAGTTGGGAAGATTATTCCAACCCTCACTGATGACACAGGGGTTCACCACTTCTGTGGAGGAAGTAACTGCAGATATGGTGGAAATAACAAGAGCACTAGAATCAGAGACAGAGCCTGAAGATCTGGCGAGACTGCAGCATCCTCTGGAGAAAACGTGAGAGGATGAGTTGCTCCCACGGATGAGCAAAGAAAGTGGTTTCTTGAGATGAAATCTACTAGTGGTGAAGACAGTGTAAACAATGTTGAGATGACAACAGATTTAGAATAAACTTGGTACAGCAGAAGGAAGGCTTGACAGGATTGAACCCAATGATTTACAATAATACATAAACTTAGTTGGTACTGCAGTACGAAGGTTTGACAGCATTGAATCCAATTTTGAAAGTTCTACTGTGGGTAAAAAGCTATCATCGTATGCTACAGATAATTCTTTTGTGAAAGGGAGAGTCAATTGACACAGCAAACTTCAATGTTGTCTTTTTTTAAGAAATTGCGACAGCCACCCCAGCGCTCAGCAACCACCACCTTACATTAAGGTAAGACCCTCCATCAGCAAGAAGACTGAAACTTGGCCAGGTGCAGTGGCTCACACCTGTCATCCCAACACCTTGGGAGGCCAAGGTGGGTGGATTGCTTGAGCCCAGGACATCAAGGCAACATGGCAAAACCACATCTCTACAAAAAAAAATACAAAAATTAGCTGGACACGGTGGCATGCACCTGTAGTCCCAGCTAGTCAGGAGTCTGAGGTGGGGGTTTGATTGAGCATGAGGTTGAGGCTGCAATTACTCCAGCCTGAGCCACAGAGTAAAACCCTGTCACACACACAAAAAAAGATTGCAGCTTTCTGAAGGCTCAGATGACTGTTAGCACTTGTTAACAATAAAGTATTTGTAAATTAAAGTGTGCATACTTTGTAGACATATGCTATTGCACACTTTATACAGCACAGTATAAACATACTTTTACATGCACTAGGAAACCAAAAGAAATTGTATAAAACTTTATTGCAGTGGTCTGGAACCAAACCCACATATATCTCTGATGCATGGCCGTCCTGTATTGTACACTTAAAAAAGTACTTAAGAGGGTATATTTTATGTGAAATGGTCATCTCATTTTTTTTTTTTTGAGACGGAGTCACACTCTGTTGCCCAGGCTGGAGTGCAGTGGCACGATCTCGGCTCACTGCAAGCTCTGCCTCCCGAGTTCACACCATTATCCTGCCTCAGTCTCCCGAGTAGCTGGGACTACAGGTGCCCGCCATCACGCATGGCTAATTTTCTGTATTTTTAGTAGAAATGGGGTTTCACTGTGTTAGCCAGGATGATCTTGATCTCCTGACCTCGTGATCCACCTGCCTTGGCCTCCCAAATTGCTGGGATTACAGGCATGAGCCGCCACTCCCGGTCTCATTTTTTAAAAAGGGTGAGAATGAGAAATATATGGGGAGTGATGGTCAAGTTTACGGCATTATTTGTTGTGATGAGTCCTGGGGCGAATACTTATCTCTATACTCATTAAGATGTATATATTCGGTGTCACACGCCTGTAATCCCAGCACTTTGGGAGGCCGAGGCAGGTGGATCATCTGAGGTCAGGAGTTCGAGACCAGCCTGGCCAACATGGTGAAACCCTGTCTCTACTAAAAAAATACAAAAATTAGCCAGGCGTGGGGGCGCACGCCTGTGATCCCAGCTACTGAGGAGGCTGAGGCAGGAGAATTGCTTGAACCCGGGAGGCGGAGGTTGCAGTTAGCTGAGATCGTGTCACTGCACTCCAGCCTGGACAACAAGAGTAAAACCTCCGTAACACACACAAACACACACACACACACACACACACACACACACGGTATATATTAAATATGTGTAATTTTTGTGTGTCAACCACACCTTAGCTTTATTTTATTTTATTTTTTTGAGACAGAGTCTTGCTCTGTCACCCAGGCTGGAGTCCAGTGGCGCATTCTCAGCTCACTACAAGCTCCACCTCCCAGGTTCACACCATTCTCCTGCCTCAACTTCCAGAGTAGCTGGAACTACAGGCACCCGCCACCACGCCCAGCTAATTTTTTGTATTTTTAGTAGAGATGGCGTTTCACTGTGTTAGCCCGGATGGTTTCGATCTCCTGACGTGATCTGCCTGCCTCAGCTTCCCAAAGTGCTGCTATTACAGGTGTGAGCCACCGCGCCCAGACAATTTTTATTTTTTTGAGACAGAGCCTCACTCTGTCACCCAGGCTGGAGTGCAGTGGCACTATCTTGGCTCACTGCAACCTCTGCTTCCCATGTTCAAGCAATTCTCCTGCCTCAGTCTCCCGAGTAGCTGGGAATACAGATGCATGCTATCAAGCCTGGCTAATTTTTTGATTTTTAATAGAGATGAAGTTTCACCATGTTGGCCAAGCTGGTCTCAAACTCCTGACCTCATGTGATCTGCCTACCTCAGCCTCCCAAAGTGCTGGGATTACAGGTGTAAGCCACTGCACCCGGCAATTTTTAAATACATATAATTAAAAATTAATAAAAAACAGGTATTTGCAAGTTTCTGTTTTGTTATATGCTTATTATTCTTTATCTTTATGTCAGGTTGCTGTGTCAATACACTTAGGAGATCATAGTTTCTAAATTGAAATACAAATAAATATGTCTGAAATTTTTTCTTTTTTCTTTTTTTTTGAGACGGACTCTCATTCTGTCACCCAGGCTGGAGTGCAGTGGTGCAATCTCAGCTCACTGCAACCTCCGCCTCCCAGATTCAAGTGATTCCCCTGCCTCAGCCTCCAGAGTAGCTGGGATTACAGGCACCCGCCATGACACGCAGCTAACTTTTATATATTTTTTTCTATTTTTAGTAAAGACAGGGTTTCACCATGTTGGCCAGGGTGGTCTCCAACTCCTGACCTCAGATGATCCTCCCGCCTCGACCTCCTCAAGTGCTGGGATTACAGGTGTGAGCCAGTGTGCCTGGCCTGGAATTTTTTTCTAAAATTTACATTTCTGAGTTAAGAATGCTTAAAATATTATAAAAACAGAAGCACAATTCATTATGTGTTTCATTAATTACCTTTATTAAAAACAACACAATTATATTACAATAGGACAAAAAATGTTTTAGCAAATGAAAACGAAACCATGACATACTCAAACTCTGGAGGAGGCAACAAAGGCAGTGCTAAAGGCAAGCTTACAGCTGCAGATGCTTAAATTAAAAAGAAGAAAGATCTCAAACCCATGCTAAAGGGAAGCTTACAGCTGCAGATCCTTAAATTAAAAAGAAGAAAGATCTCAAACCCGTGCTAAAGGGAAGCTTACAGCTGCAGATGCTTAAATTAAAAAGAAGAAAGATCTCAAACCCTTGCTAAAGGGAAGCTTATAGCTGCAGGTGCTTAAATTAAAAAGAAGAAAGATCTCAAATCAATAACCTAATATTACACCTGAAGGAGGAAAAAAAAAAACTAATGACAAACCAAGCAAAAGGAAGAAAATAACAGATTAGAGCAGAGATAAGCAGAATAAGACCAGAAAAAAAGGAAAAAAAACACTGAGTTTGTTTTTTTAAAGATCAATAAAAATTTTAAAACTCACAGCTATATTAAGAAAAAAAGAGAAATCTCAAATACTAAAATCATAAATAAAAGAGTTGACAATACAACAGATGCCACAGAAATGAAAAAGATTACAAGACACTAATGTGAGCAACCATATGCCACAAAACTGGGCAACCTAGAATAAATTTATAAATTCCTAGAAACACAAACCACCATACTGCATCACGGAGAAATAAAAAATCCAAAGAGACCTGTAACTAGTATGAAGATTCAACCAGTAATCAAAAACCCCACCAAAAAGAAAATTCCAGGTCCAGATAACTTCACTGGAAAATTTTACCAAACATTTCAAGAAGAATTAATGCCAATCCTCTGCAAAATATTCCAAAAATGTTCAAAAACCAGAAGGGGACATTCCAATCCATTCTATCAGGTCAACATTTATCTGGTTCCAGAGCCAGATGAACACCTTTTGTAATAAAAACACTCAAAGAATTAGTAATATATGGAAACTCCTCAGTAAATAAAGATTATACATGAAAAGCTCACAGCTAACATCATACTCAATCGTGAAAAACTAAAATCTTTTCCTCTAGGGTCAGGAATAAGATAGCAACTTCTCTTCCTGCCACTTCTATTCACCACAGCACTGGAATTTCTACTTAGAATAATTAGGCAAGAGAAAGTAATAAAAAGCATGCAAATTGGAAAGGAAAAAGTACAAAATTTTGTTCACAGACAACATGATGTAATGTGTAAAAATTCTGAAATTCCACAAAATACTGGTAGAATAATGAAATTCAACAAAGTTTCAGGATATAGTAACACACTCAAGTCAGTTGCATTTCTATAAACTAACAATGAACAATCTGCAAATAAAATTTTAAAAAGAGGCCAGGTGCAGTGGCTCACAGTTGTAATCCCAGCACTTTGGGAGGCCAAGGCGGGTGGACCACCTGAGGTCAGGAGTTCGTGACCAGCTGGGCCAACCCCATCTCTAATATAAATAGTAAAACTCTATCTCTATTAAAAATACAAAAATTAGCTGGGCATAGTGGCAGACACCTGTAGTCCCAGCTACTTGAGAGGCTGAGGCAGGAGAATTGCTTGAACTTGGAAGTTGGAGGTTGCAGTCAGCTGAGATTGTGCCACTGTGCTGCAGCTTAGGAAACAGAGTGAGACGCGGTCTCAAAAAAAAGAAAGAAAGGAAAGAAAGAGAGAGAAAGAAAAGAAAAGAAAGAGAAAACAAAAGAAATTTTTAAAAAGAATGACATTTGGCCGGGTGCGGTGGTTCATGCTAGCAATCCCAGCAGTTTGGGAGGCCGAGGCGGGCAGATCACCTGAGGTCACAAGTTCAAGACTAGCCTGGTCAACATGGAGAAACCCTGTCTCTACTAAAAATACCAAAAAGTTAGCTGGGCGTGGTGGCGTGCACCTGTGATCCCAGGTACTTGAGAGGCTGACGTTGGAGAATTGCTTGAATAAGGAAGGTGCAGGTTGCAGTGACCTGAGATAGTGCCACTGCACTCCAGCCTGGGAGACAGAGCAAGACTCCATCTCAAAAAAAAAAAAAATTACATTTACAACAGCATTAAAAAATTATAAATAAGCTTAACCAAGAGGGCAAAAGATTTGAACACAGAAAACTACAAAACACTGTTGAAAGAAATTAAACACAAATACATGAAAAGAAAAGCTGGGTTTGCAGATTAGATGATTTCATCTTGGAATGATGTCAACACTACTCGAAGTGACCTAGATTCATTACAATCCTTATAAAGATTCCAATGACATTTTTGATAAACAGAAAAACCTATCTTAAAACTCATATGGAATCTCCAGTGCCCATGAATAGGCAAATCGATCTTGAAACAGAACAAAATTAAAGGTCTCAAAACAATTACAAAACTGCAATAAGCCAAAAAAAAAATGTGGTCATGGCATAAAGACACTCTTGACACACTTATGGACCAACACAACAGAGACCTTAGAAACCAACCCTGGCATATATGGTCCAATGACCTTCCACAAGGATGCCAAGACCACTCAATGGTGAAGGACAGTTTCTGCAACAAATTGTGTTGGGAAAATTGTATATCTACATGCAAAACAGTGAAGTTGGACTCTTACCTTACACCACGTTAAAATTAATTCAAAGTGAATTATAAACCTAAATGTAAAACTAGAACTATCAAACTCCTAGGGAAAACAAATTTGGAAAATGCTTTATGATGATGAATTTGTCAATAATTTTTAGGATATGACATTAAAAGCTCAGGCAGTAAAAGCAAAAATATATCAAACCTAAAAACTTCTGTACCACAAAGGTCACAACCAACAGGGTAAAAGGCAAACTGTAGAATAAAAGAAAATACCAGTTGAGTGTCCCTTATTTGAAATGCTTGGGATGTGTTTCAGATTTTGTAATATTTGCACTATTCTTACTGGTTGAGCATCTCGAATTCAAACACCTGAGTCTGAGATGCTCCAATAAGCATTTCCTTTGAGTGTCATGTTGGCACTCAAAAAGTTTCAGACTTTGGAGCATTTGGGATTTCAGATTTTTGGATCGGAGACATTCAATCTATAGTTGCTCATCATGTATCTCATAAGAAGTGAACATACAGAATACGTAAAGAACTCCTACAGAGAGACTACCAGAAGCAGAGAGGAGCAAACACATTTTCACACTAGGGCACCTCCTATCTCTCCTGGATTCCAATTAGGGCAGAGTAAGTGCTAGTTCTCTGCCAACCTAGGATTAGGCCCTGCAGCTGCAGTGAAAATAATCACAGAAGAAAACTAAGAAATAAAAAATGGAGAAAGTGAGACATCAAACTAGAATTACTAGAATCCCCTAGGAAGAAGGAAAAAAAAAACAAAACAGAAAAACAATCAAACCAGATAATTAAACCTTGGTGTGACCAGAAGATCAGGGTTTCCTAAAGGAGTGGAAATTTATTGACTTGAAGACGATTTATTGATTACTGATTTGAAGAGGAAGAAAAACCATGAATGGTCTAAAGCAAAAGCCTAGTGTCTGAAGAAGTCAGTAGGGTGAAAACAAGAGCTGGCCAGAATGTCCACAGATGGTGACAAGTTTGCAAAGCCTTTACTAGACTACTTGTGAGGCTAACTAGAGGCCAAGGAGCCAACACTGCCCTTGTCCTTACAGAGAGACCCTACACAGGATTCCCAGATATACATGGAAGGACAACATCTTATCAGGTCCTCTCTGTGCAGATGTGGTTATCATTCCAAATAATGAGCTCCAGCCCCAAGACTGTTCCATCCTCAATTGCTTTGAGTGGGCAATGTAGGCTTTCCACACACGAGCTACATGTAGGTTCCTTGGGTACCCAGATGGGAGCCGTGAAACACAAACCTTCCATGGTCAGGTCCGTATCTGTTTCCTGCCTTTTCCCCAGCAATCCCCAGGCCTCAGCAGCAGTGGTCTACCTCTGCTGATTCTCATTCAGAATCTGAACTTAGAAACAATTAGAACCTAGACCCCAATTCTACCTGAAAGTAACAGAATAACATAATCTATACCCTGCAGCATGACTGTTTACCCAACGTAATGAGGATGAACTGAGAGATAATGAATGACCATGACCCTGGCCCAAGTAACAAGAATGAACTGTGAGATAAATGAATGATCATGACCAAAAAACCCCACTACAACACAACAACAAAATAAAGTGATTAAAAAATGGACAAAGAACATTTATCCAAAGATGCAAAGATGATATAAAAATAGCCAACAGATACATGAGATATATGAGAAGATGTGTAACATCACTAGTCATTAAAGAAATGCAAATAGAAACCACAATGGGACATCACTTCTAACCCAACAGAAAGTAACAAGTGCAGGTGAAACTGAAACCCTTGAACACTGTTGGTGGAAATATGAACTGGCTCCTCAAAAAAAACAAAATAAAATGACCATATGATCCAGCCATCCAACTTCTACAGAGACAGAATAACTAGTAGCAGGACCTCCAACAGATACTTCCACACCTATGTTCACAGGATCATTACACAGCCACAAGTGGAAGAAACCAAAACGTCCATCCAGGAATAGATGGATAAACAAAAGGATATATATATATATATAGAGAGAGAGAGAGAAATATATATATATATATATATGAAGAAATATTATTCAGCAATAGAAAGGAAGAAAATCCTGACACATCTGACACATAACATGGAACCTACTTACAAAACAACAAATATTATATAAACCTAGGTATATAAGCCAAAGTTTTAGAAACACAAAGTAGAATAGTACTTGCCAGGAGGTGGAAGGAACGGGAAATTAATAGTTGTTGAATGAGTATAGAGTTTTCCAAGATAAAAAAACATCTAGAAATCTGCTACACAACACTGTAAATATTCTTAACTCTACAAAACTGTACACTTACAACTGGTTATGATGGTAAATTTTAAGGTATGTGTTTGTTACCAAAATTCAAAATAATAAATTATTTATAAAAAATGATCTTTTTTGACACAGGATCTTACTCTGTTGCCCTGGCAGGAGTGCAATGGCATGATCACAGCTCATTGCAGCCTCAACCTCCCAGGCTCAAGCAACCCTCCCACCTGAGCCTCCCGAATAGTTGGGACTACAGATGCACACCAAGATGTCAGGCTAAAGTTTGGTTTGGTTTTTTTGTAGAGAGGGTTTTCCCATGTTGCCCAGGCTGGTCTCAAACTCCTGGGCTCAAGCAATCCACCTCCCTTGGACTCCCACAGAGCTGAGATTATGAGCATAAGCCAACATGCCCAGCCTATAAAAAATTATTTCAAAAAGCCAAAAGATTAATCAAACTGGAATATTTAGAAATATTTAACCCAAAAGAAGTTAGGAAAGAATATATAGAAGATCAAAACACAGACTAAGGCCAGGCATGGTGGCTCATGCCTGTAATATGAACAATTTGGGATGCCAAGGTGGGTAGGTTGCTTGAGCTCAGGAGTTCAAGATCAGCCTGTGCAACATGGCAAAACTCTATCTCTACAAAAAATATAAAAATTAGCCAGGTGTGTTGCCATGCACCTGTAGTCCCAGCTACTCAGGGGGCTCAAGTGAGGATTGGTTGGGCCTGGGAGGCAGAGGTTGCAGTGAGCCAAGATTGCACCATTGCACTACAGTCTGGGTGACAGAGTAAGACCCTGTCTTAAAAAAATAAACAAACAAATAGAAAATAAGTAGAAAAATGGCAGACCTAAATCCAACCTTAGCAATGATTAGTTACAATGTAACTGGACAAATACTCTACTTAAGACAGAGACTGCCAGACCTGAGAGGAAAGCAAGACCCAACAATATGGCATCCACAGAGACACAATTTAAACACAAAGACACAAACAAAGTATGAGAAAAAATATGCTATGCAGACACTAATCTTAAAAATATGCTATCCAGACACTAATCATAAAAAGCTTCAACAGAGATGTTAACACTAGATGAAAGAGGCTTCAGAGCAAAATATATCACCAGAAATAAACAGGGTAATTTAATAAAAATAAAATAATCAGAGAGGATGATGTTACAATTATAAATTGTGCCTCAAAGTGCACACAAATTACACACACACACAGAGCCTCAAAGTATGTGAATCAAAAACAACAGACAAAAGCAGGAAATTGACAATCCAAAATTATAGCTGGTGAATTAATAGTGCTCTCTCAGTAACTGATGGAAGAACCAGATAAAAATATAGGAAAAATATGGATCTAAATGACAAAATCCTGACCCAAATGGTACTTGGCAGTACCAAGATAAACTGTATGTCGATCGATTGAGAAAAGGTTCAAGCCTGAAATAGTATACAAAAGATGTTGTCTGAACACTCGAAATTAAATTAGAAACCAACAACAAATTGATATCCAGAAAAGCCTCAAATGTCTGAAAACCAAGTAATAAACTTTGAAATACCCTGTGAGTCAAAAAGTATTCAAAAGGGGAACTGGAATGTATTTGGAACAAACTTGTTATAAAAATGTCATTTCTGGTAGACTAAAGGTGACAACTTCTTTCCTGCTCCTCTCTCTGTGAGGACCAATTCCCCTTAAACCTTGACCAGACTACTGACTTATTTGGCCAACAGAAGGTGACAAAGGTGGTATTTGGGGACTTCAGAAGCCAGGCTGAGAAAACAGAACACTTATCCAGGAGAAAGCCAGTCACCAGGCAGGAAATCCCACTACCCTGAGACATGATGGAAACCACACTGCCAGTCCATGACTAGCTACATGCATTGACATCCCCCACTGAGCCTCCAGCAACACCGATTTCCAACAACTAGTGAGCCTCCAGCAACATCCACTCCCAACCACTAGTGAGCCACCCTGCACACCACCCCACTGTGCTTTCACACAATCCAGCTTGGCTGCAACTGTGTGTGAGATGAGCTGACCACCAAGACTCTCAAAGCCAAAAAACAAGTAATAATGAGTTGTTTTAAGCTGCCAAGTTTTGGGGATGGTTTCTTCAGAATAGAAAACTGGAACAGAATATGACCGCTGGAAATGAGCTGCTGTGGTAATCAGAAGCTACAATATGTGACACGACTGTGAGGCTGACCTGTAACTGGGCCTCAAGGAGACCATTCATGCAACCTGGAAGAGCATCAAGACTCTTGGTCAGGGCCTGAAGGATGGTGAGAAAATGTCATTGGAAACTGGAGAAAAGGCCTGAGAGTTACGTGCTGAGGGACTGTGGGAAAACTACGGCCACAACATGGAAACTGAAAGGGCACTGCACCATCTCAGGGATCTGCCTAAGGAGACATCTGGGAAGAACATGGAAAGTGCTACCAGCCTCCCCTAACTGTCACTGAATAAATATGACAGGAGAGGGACATGATCTAAACAAGGAGGTTCAGTTTTCAAACAGAATTTAGAGAAAATATAAAGAAATAATTTCTTGTCTCAAAAGGCCAAAGTAGAAAAAAGAAAGAAAAGAAAAGGAAAAAAAATGAAAAAGAAGCCATTGAATACCCTATTGACCATAAGAAAAAGGCAGGGAAACTTGGTCAAAGGCAACCCAGGCACTGAAGGAAAAAGGACACAAACACCATTCTCAGGGACCAGGACTGGGCGCCGTTCTCAGGGACCAGGACTGGGCACTAATCACAGAACTGTAACAGGCACCCCATGGGAATGACCAACTGTTAGACGGGGCCTGCAGGGCAGCACTTCCTTCTTGCCTCCCACCAACAGCTTCTAAAGGGAAATGCCGACTGTTTTCACACCAGTCCCCTCACTGCGGCTGAGTTTGTGGGCTCAGATGATAGGTCACCACAACCTGATTCAGTCCCCACTGTGGCTGTGTGTGGGGGGTCAGATGACAGGCCACCACAATCTGATTCAGTCCACACTGTTGCTGTGTCGGGGGGAGGGGCAGATGACAGGTCACCACAACCTGATTCAGTCCTCACTGCAGCTGTGTGTGTGTTGGTGCAGATGACAGGCCACCACAACCTGATTCAGGATTCAGTTGGGCTACCAGCCAGTGCCATAAGGAAAACCATTCTGGGGCTCTTGAGAGGGGCAAAGCATAATTTGCATGTAGCAGAAATGTTAATAGTTTGCGACCAGAGGACAAGCTGTGGTTTATTAAAGACTGCTGCAGGTTCCTACTATGCTTCTCATCAAGAGGTGGAATCTAATCACCTTCCGCCCTTGAATCATGGCTGGCCTCAGTGATGAGTGCGACTGGGCAGTGTGGCAGGAGAGATGCTCTGGGACTTCTGAGGGGCGATCATGAGAGGCCTTACAGATTCTGCCTGGGCCTCTGGGACACACACCCTGGGAGAAACCAGACAAACCTGACTACCTGACGCTGCCAGACTGGGAGGAAGTCCGTGCTGGCCACGAAGAGAGGGCTGGGTGCCTGTTCCATGTCCCCAGCCACTAGAGTCCTTCCAGATGAGACCAAGGACATCATGAAGCAACCAACCCACACCGCCCTGTCCAGTGTCTTGACCCAGAAAATTGTGACATGTAAAAAAATAAATTCCTGGTTTAAGCCAGTAAGGTTACTGGTACATTGTTACATCTCAGATAATTAAAACCTTGAAAAACTCATGAGAGATCACAAGTAGAACCTTGATCTGAAACGGCATGTAGCGATTTATATTGAGTATTAGGTTAAAAATGCAAGAATGGAGCATAGTTAATATTTTACGTTAAAGCTAAAACTATAATTGCCTACTTAAAATTTTCAGTTAATTAGGTTGTCACTTTTTGTTCTTAACCAAGAAATCAACTAGTTTTAGTCCATAAACAGTTAGAACTGATGCACACATCCGTTTCTCCTTACTCATTTTAAACAGCTATCTGAAATAGGAAGCGTAATATAATCTTTAAAGAATCTGAAAACATGACAGAAATGTTTAAACTATAAACATATATTGTATATGTTAGCATATTGTATACATTGCATATTAACATAAGCTAGAATCATTGACATAAATTTATATAAACGAAAGGTGTAACATATGACAATGTTCTTCTTGATTTTTGTCTTTGCATATTTCTTTATTGGCCCTTGTCAAATGTGACCCACTAACTCCTGAATACTTTCTCCCTCCCCATTGATTCCTAAGGATGTCACCACAGTGTTGGCCAGATGCACAGGTCACAGGGGACTGAATCTCATCACCCCACAAACATACCATTCAGGTTTTGCCAAGAATGACACTGTAAATGTAACAAAGCTTCCGTGCTTGTTAGTGAACACCAACTCAGCTCCTCTCCTGTATTCAGAAATCAGGATGAGATGAAAACAACAAGCAGGCCAGTCTCGGTGGCTCACGCCTGTAATCCCAGCCCTTTGGGAGGACGAGGCAGGTGGATCACCTGTGGTCGGGAGTTTGAGACCACCCTGATCAAAACAGAGAAACCCCATCTCTACTAAACATACAAAATTAGCCGGGCATGGTGGCAAATGCCTGTAATACCAGCTACTCAGGAGCTGAGGCAGGAGAATTGCTTGAACCCGGGAGGTGGAGGCTGCAGTGAGCCGAGATCACACCACTGTCCTCTAGCCTGGACAACAAGAGTGAAACTCTGTCTCAAAAGAAAAAAAAAATTAAAAATAAAAGAACAAGGAAACAAAAGTAACAAGGCTTGACACCAGATGAGCCTGAATCTAAGCAAGAAAAGCCCAGAAGAAATCCCATTTTGGGTCACTGGCTGCATGGTAGTAATACCATACACATAAGGGAAGAGAAGAGGATGTGGCTTTCAGTTTGAATTTTTTGAGCTTAAGGTAAATTTTGTGTAGCTACAAAGAAGCATTCAACAGAGAGTTAAACCTATGATGGAAAGACTGAAGGGGTCCAAGCTGTAGAGAAACAGGACTGCAAACCACAAAGGGCTGAATCAGTCAAGGAGAACTGCAGGGCGGGATGAACAGGGACTAATGGAACATTTGGATAAGCTGTTGAGAAGAAAGGAGAATTCAGAGAAAAAGAACTGTCAGTGAGGTCATAATAGAAACTGTTACAGTGAACTAAATATGGCCTGGGAAGGACTCTGTACTTCTAGATTTGAGTCCCTGTGGACAAACTGCAACCTAAATTAATAGGTAGAAAGACTGAAAACCTAACTTAGGAGTATGCGCCTGTAACTATAGCTGAGTCCTGGCCAATCCCAACTGCCAAACTTCTGCCACTCACACACTGCTGAGTGTTCAGCTGTGTTCAGATAAGGCAAATGCTGAGCACTGGAACCAGTCCAGTTGTTTCTGGACCTCACTGCTGAGAACTGTAAGGGACCCAGTTGCTTCTGGACCTCACTTCTCACTTCAGATTTCTGTACATCACGTTCCCTTTATTGTCTATAAATCTTCCACCATGTAGCTGTGCTGGAGTCTCACCAAATCTGCTGTGATTCTGGGGGCTGCCTGATTCGTGAATCATTCATTGCTCAATTAAGTTCCTTTAAATTTAATTCAGCTGAAGATTTTCTTTTAATAGATGGTGTCAGAAGTGGGATCTGTGGGAGCAGGACTGCTAGGGCCTCCGGAGCTATAGTGTGGTGAGCAGTGTTGCTAGGGCTTCTAATGACCCCCAGGAGTGCTGAGGTACAAGAAAGGCACCTGCAAGGACTGCTCTGTGATGGCAGCAGTGGTCCACGTGGAGCAGTTGCTACGGAGACACTGGCTGCAGTGGGGAGGAGTGGCTGGGGCTGTGCGCTCCTCGAAGCTGGTGGGAGCCAGGAACGGGTGGGAGCCCCACCCCTTCTAAATTGGCAAGCAGGAGCCCCGCCCTCCCAGGCACAGCTGCAGCCATCCAGCCATGACTGCAAACCCGGGCATCTTTGCACTCTTAGAGGCCCAGCAAGCCCCCTGCCCCCACAGGCTCAGTCGTACCTGGTCCCACCATCTGGCATCTCTCCACTCCCAGAGCCCACTCCAACTTCGGATCCAAGTTGAGGCTGAACCCAGGCACAGTCGCAACCCGGCCCGGTTTGTGCAAGCTCAGGGCAGTGCTGACATGCCAGCCTCCTGCCACCTCAGCCCCCTCCAGACTTTGGGCAGTGACGAGCACAAGAGGGAGGTTGAGGTGGGTCTAAGAGTGGCTCAGCACTGGCCTGAAGGCACTCCTCAGCTCGAACAGCCTCAGCAATGTGGGAACAGCTAACCACAGTGCGTCTCTCTCAGCTGCTGAGAGCTGAACAGATTTTGGGATGACCTGCCTGCAGAAAGGAGTTACCCACTGCAGTTCTCCTCTGAGCTCTACTGTTGCTCAATAAAGCACCTCTTCACCTTGCTCACCTTCTACTTGCCCACATACCTCATTCTTCCTGGACTCAGGACAAGAACTCGGGACCTGCCAACTAGCAGGGCTGAAAGAGGTGTAACATAAACAGGGCTGAAACGCACCCCTTGCTTACCAAATTGCAGGCAAGAAGAAGAGAAGAGAGAAGGAGACAAGAGCTGTGGCCCTTCAGGGAGCCCAGACCTAGGAGCTCCCCAAGCCAGGGCTGTGATGCCTTCTTTGGGGCTCTGCAGTTCCTGCATCTCCAAGTTTCCAGGCACCACTGCATTCCCTGATACACACAGTGGAAGCTGTTTGCAGTCGGTCTGGTCCAGCTGCAGCCTCACAGGGAGCTGGCACCTGTGCCGGTACCTGGAGCTGCCCACCCCACTGCAGCTGGCATGCTTGGCTGTGTGCAGTGGTCAGATCCCATGCTTGCTTGCTCACACACCATTCACTGCTCTGTACCCAGCTCATCCTTGGCAGGTGTGGGATCCACACCACTAGCATGAGCCGAGTGGACAGAACGAACCCAGTGGGCCCGAGCAAAACACAGGTAAAGGCACCACCAGCCAGAGGTTTCAGGCAGAAAAGTGACGTCTCAGGATTCTGTAACACTTGTGCACTTTGACCTCTCAGAGCAGCTGGGGATCATGGTAAATTCTCTCTCGGATTTCATAGCTCCATGGATTTGTGTTTTGAGCTCTGAGTTTCTTTGAGCAATTTTCTGTTCCAAACTGCTATCCAGCCATGACTGACTGGATGTTTTAGAACATCCAGAAACGGGACAGTGTCCAGGATCAGATTTGATCCAGTAGTTAACTGTCTTGAATCCAGTTCCAGTTAGAGACCTCCTACATCTGAATGGGTCAGAAGGAAAGTGGTAGTAAATGATAATTTTGGAGGGTTGTAAAATTTGGCTTTTGAAAATTCACAGGGATTTTTGTGTTCTACCCCTTTGTTTCATTTTCCTCGCACGCTTAGGTAGGAAAAAAAATCATTGGCTAAGTCAATCAAGGGAACCTGGGAGTAAAGACAATATATTAGGTAACAATAGGATCATTAATTTCTGGAAAACTTAGTTCCTTCTGGCTAATTCATTAGGCCTGGGAAGCAGCAAAGTCTTACAGAAATGGCAAAATCTTACTAAAGATAACTTACAGTGGAACATTCCAAATGAATAATGCCCTGAAGTGCATTTAAAAATGAGGGCTCCCAAATTAGTCTCGTCTAGGGATGCCTATTAATATGCAGAAGCTTCTAAAAAGATTTAGAGGTGGCACGGCCTATCTGAGAGCAAGTTTGGGTCTTACCAGTTTGACACTGGGTGCTAAGCAAAGTGGCACGTGTCTATGTTTTGTCACATGTATTTTGCTCTGAGCAGAATGAAAAATGTTAATTTGGTTACTCCAAGCAACCCCTTGGGCAGCATCTTACAAAGCTGAGTGGATTCTTCTTGTGGCTCCATGATTATCATTGTGATGCAGTTTGGCCCCAGAGCTATAATATGGTGAGGAGGGTGACAGAGCAAGACGTTATCTTTAAAAAAAATGGCCAGGGACAGTGGCTCACACCTGTAATCCCAACACTTGGGGAGGCCGAGACAGGTGGATCACCTGAGGTCAGGAGTTCAGGGCCAGCCTGACCAACAAGGAAAAACCCCGTCTCTACTAAAAACACAAAATTAGCTGGGCATGGTGTGACATGTCTCTAATCCCAGCTACTCAGGAGGCTGGGGCGGGAGAATTGCTTGAACCTGGGAGGCAGGGGGTTGCAGTAAACCGAGATTGCATCATTGCACACCAGCCTGGGCAACAAGAGGGAAAATCCACCTCAAAAAAAGGAAAGAATAATAGATTTGCCTATAAGGTTTTATGAAAAAGTGGGTGACATTTGGCTTTCTCTCTTTAAAGAAGATTTTCAGAAAATATTAAAAAATAATGGGAGGAGAAGCCAAGATGGCCGAATAGGAACAGCTCGAGTCTACCGCTCCCAGCATGAGCGACGCAGAAGACGGGTGATTTCTGCATTTCCTTTTGAGGTACTGGGTTCATCTCACTAGGGAGTGCCAGACAGTGGGTGCAGGACAGTGGGTGAAGTGCACTGTGCACTAGCTGAAGCAGGGCGAGTCATTGCCTCACTCGGGAAGTGCAAGGGGTCAGGGAGTTAGTTCTCTTTCCTGGTCAAAGAAAGGGGTGACAGACGGCACCTGGAAAATCGGGCCACTCCTACCCTAACACTGTGCTTTTCCGACGGGCTTAGGAAATGGCACCCCAGGAGATTATATCCGGCACCTGCCTCGGAGGGTCCTACGCACACGGAGTCTCGCTGATTGCTAACACAGCAGTCTGAGATCAAACTGCAAGGCAGCAGCAAGGCTGGGGGAGGGGCACTGGCTATTGCCCAGGCTCTCTTAAGTAAACAAAGCATCCAGGAAGCTCGAACTGGGTGGAGCCCAACACAGCTCAAGGAGGCCGTCCTGCCTCTGCAGGCTCCACCTCTGGGGGCAGGGCACAGACAAACAAAAAGACAGCAGTAACCTCTGCAGACTTAAATGTCCCTGTCTGACAGCTTTGAGGAGAGCAGTGGTTCTCCCAGCATGCAGCTGGAGATCTGAGAATGGGCAGACTGCCTCCTCAAGTGGGTCCCTGACCCTGACCCCCAAGCAGCCTAATTGGGAGGCGCCCCCCAGTAGGGGCAGACTGACACCTCACACAACCGGGTACTCCTCTGAGACAAAAATTCCAGAGGAACGATCAGACAGCAGCATTCGCGGATCACGAAAATCCACGGTTTTGCAGACACCACTGCTGATACCCAGGCAAACAGGGTCTGCAATGGGCCTCTAGCAAACTCCAACAGACCTGAAGCTGAGGGTCATGTCTTTTAGAAGGAAAACTAACAAACAGAAAGGACATCCACACCAAAAACCCATCTGTACATCACCATGATCAAAGACCAAAAGTAGATAAAACCACAAAGATGGGGAAAAAACAGAGCAGAAAAACTGGAAACTCTAAAAAGCAGAGCACCTCTCCTCTGCCAAAGGAATGCAGTTCCTCACCAGCAATGGAACAAAGCTGGACAGAGAATGACTTTGACGAGTTGAGAGAAGAGGGCCTCAAACGATCAAACTACTCCGAGCTACAGGAGGAAATTCAAACCAAAGGCAAAGAAGTTGAAAACTTTGAAAAAACTTTAGACGAATGTGTAACTAGAATAACCAATATAGAGAAGTGCTTAAAGGAGCTGATGGAGCTGAAAGCCAAGGCTCGAGAACTATGTGAAGAATGCAGAAGCCTCAGGAGATGATGAGATCAACTGGAAGAAAGCGTATCAGTGATGAAAGATGAAATGAATGAAATGAAGCAAGAAGGGAAGTTTAGAAAAAAAAGAATAAAAAGAAATGAACAAAGCCTCCAAGAAATATGGGACTATGTGAAAAGACCAAATCTGCGTCTGATTGGTGTACCTGAAAATGACGGGGAGAATGGAACCAAGTTGGAAAACACTCTGCAGGATATCATCCAGGAGAACTTCCCCAATCCAGCAAAGCAAGCCAACATTCAGATTCGGGAAATACAGAGAACACCACAAAGATACTCCTCGAGAACAGCAACTCCAAGACATATAATTGTGAGATTCACCAAAGTTGAAATGAAGAAAAAAATGTTAAGGGCAACCAGAGAGAAAGGTCAGGTTACCCACAAAGGGAAGCCCATCAGAATAACTGCTGATCTCTCGGCAGAAACTCTACAAGCAAGAAGAGAGTGGGTGCCAACATTCAACAATCTTACAGAAAAGAATTTTCAACCCAGAATTTCATATTCAGCCAAACTAAGCTTCATAAGTGAAGGAGAAATAAAATACTTTACAGACAAGCAAATGCTGAGCGATTTTGTCACCACCAGGCCTGCCCTAAAAGAGCTCCTGAAGGAAGCACTAAACATGGAAAGGCACAATCGGTACCAGCCACTGCAAAAACATGCCAAATTGTAAAGAACATCAAGACTAGGAAGAAACTGCGTCAATTAACGAGCAAAATAACCAGCTAACATCATAATGACAGGATCAAATTCACACATAACAATATTAACTTTAAATGTAAATGGACTAAATGCTCCAATTAAAAGACACAGACTGGCAAATTGGATAAAGAGTCAAGACCCATTAGTGTGCTGTATTCAGGAAACCCATGTCACGTGCAGAGACACACATAGGCTCAAAATAAAAGGATGGAGGAAGATCTACCAAGCAAATGGAAAACAAAAAAAAGGCAGGGGTTGCAATCCTAGACTCTGATAAAACAGACTGTAAACCAACAAAGATCAAAAGAGACAAAGAAGACCATTACATAATGGTAAAGGGATCAATTCAACAAGAAGAGCTAACTGTCCTAAATATATATGCACCCAATACAGGAGCACCCAGATTCATAAAGCAAGTCCTGAGTGACCTACAAAGAGACTTAGACTCCCACACAATAATAATGGGAGACTTTAACACCCCACTGTCAACATTAGACAGATCAATAAGACAGAAATTTCACAAGGATACCAAGGAATTGAACTCAGCTCTGCACCAAGAGGACCTAATAGACATCTACAGAACTCTCCAACCCAAATCAATAGAATATACATTTTTTCAGCACCACACCACACCTATTCCAAAATTGACCACATACTTGGAAGTAAAGCCCTCTTCAGCAAATGTAAAAGAACAGAAATTAAACTGTCTCTCAGACCACAGTGCAATCAAACTAGAACTCGGCATTAAGAAACTCACTCAAAACTGCTCAACTACATGGAAACTGAACAACCTGCTCCTGAATGACTACTGGGTACGTAACAAAATGAAGGCAGAAATAAAGATGTTCTTTAAAACCAACGAGAACAAAGACACAACATACCAGAATCTCTGGGACACATTCAAAGCAGTGTGTACAGGGAAATTTATAACACTAAATGCCCACAAGGGAAAGCAGGAAAGATCCAAAATTGACACTCTAACATCACAATTGAAAGAACTAGAAAAGCAGGAGCAAACACATTCAAAAGCTAGCAGAAGGCAAGAAATAACTAAAATCAGAGCAGAACTGAAGGAAATAGCAACAAAAAAACGCTTCAAAATATTAATGAATCCAGGAGCTGGTTTTTTGAAAGGATGAACAAAATTGATACACTGCTAGCAGGACTAATAAAGAAAAAAGAGAGAAGAATCAAATAGACACAATAAAAATAATAAAGGGGATATCACCACTGATCCCTCATAAATACAAACTACCATCAGAGAATACTACAAACACCTCTACACAAATAAACTAGAAAATCTAGAAGAAATGGATAAATTCCTCCACGCATACACTCTCCCAAGACTAAACCAGGAAGAAGTTGAATCTCTGAATAGACCAATAACAGGATCTGAAATTGTGGCAATAATCAATAGCTTACCAACCAAAAAGAGTCCAGGACCAGATGGATTCACAGCCAAATTCTACCAGAGGTACAAGGAGGAGCTGGTACCATTCCTTCTGAAACTATTCCAATCAATAGAAAAAGAAAGAATCCTCCCTAACTCAATTTATGAGGCCAGCATCATCCTGATACCAAAGCCGGGAAGAGACACAACCAAAACAGAGAATTTTAGACCAATATCCTTGATGAACATTGATGCAAAAATCCTCAATAAAATACTGGCAAACCGAATCCAGCAGCACATAAAAAAGCTTATCCACCATGATCAAGTGGGTTTCATCCCTGGGATGCAAGGCTGGTTCAATATACACAAATCAATAAAAGTAATCCAGCATATAAACAGAACCAAAGACAAAAACCACACGATTATCTCAATAGATGCAGAAAAGGCCTTTGACAAAATTCAACAGCGCTTCATGCTAAAAACTCTCAATAAATTAGGTATTGATGGGACTTATCTCAAAATAATAAGAGCTATCTATGACAAACCCACAGTCAATATCATACTGAATGGGCAAAAACTAGAAGCATTCCCTTTGAAAACGGGCACAAGACAGGGATGCCCTCTCTCATCACTCCTATTCAACATAGTGTTGGAAGTTCTGGCCAGGGCAATCAGGCAGGAGAAGGAAATAAAGGGTATTCAATTAGGAAAAGAGGAAGTCAAATTGTCCCTCTTTGCAAATGACATGATTGTATATCTAGAAAACCCCATTGTCTCAGCCCAAAATCTCCTTAAGCTGATGATAAGTAACCTCAGCAAAGTCTCAGGATACAAAATCAATGTACAAAAATCACAAGCATTCTTATACACCAATAACAGACAAACAGAGAGCCAAATCATGAGTGAACTCCCATTCGCAATTGCTTCAAAGAGAATAAAATACTTAGGAATCCAATTTACAAGGGACATGAAGGACCTCTTCAAGGAGAACTACAAACCACTGCTCAATGAAATAAAAGAGGATACAAACAAATGGAAGAACATTCCATACTCATGGATAGGAAGAATCAATATCATGAAAATGGCCATACTGCCCAAGGTAATTTATAGATTCAATGCCATCTCCATCAAGCTACCAATGACTTTCTTCACAGAATTGGAAAAAACTACTTTAAAGTTCATATGGAACCAAAAAAGGGTCTGCATCACCAAGTCAATCCTAAGCCAAAAGAACAAAGCTGGAGGCATCACCCTACCTGACTTCAAACTATACTACAAGGCTACAGTAACCAAAAGAGCATGATACGGATACCAAAACAGAGATATAGACCAATGGAACAGCACAGAGCCCTCAGAAATAATGCCGCATATCTACAACTATCTGATCTTTGACAAACCTGACAAAAACAAGGAGTGGATCCCCTATTTAATAAATGGTGCTGGGAAAACTGGCTAGCAATATGTAGAAAGCTGAAACTGGATCCCTTCCTTACACCTTATACAAAAATTAATTCAAGATGGATTAAAGACTTAAATGTTAGAACTGAAACCATAAAAACCCTAGAAGTAAAACTAGGCATTACCATTCAGGACATAGGCATGGGCAAAGACTTCATGTCTAAAACACCAGAAGCAATGGCAACAAAAGCCAAAATTGACAAATGGGATCTAATTAAACTAAAGAGCTTCTGCACAGCAAAAGAAACTGCCATCAGAGTGAACAGGCAACCTACAAAATGGGAGAAAATTTTTGCAACTTACTCATTTGACAAAGGGCTAATATCCAGAATCTACAACGAACGTAAACAAATTTACAAGAAAAGAAATACAACCCCATCAAAAAGTGGGTGAAGGATATGAACAGACACTTCTCAAAAGAAGACCTTTATGCAGCCAAAAGACACATGAAAAAATGCTCATCATCACTGGCCATCATAGAAATGCAAATCAAAACCACAATGAGATACCATCTCACACCAGTTAGAATCGCAATCATTAAAAAGTCAGGAAACAACAGGTGCTGCAGAGGATGTGGAGAAATAGAAACACTTTTAAACTGTTGGTGGGACTGCAAACTAGTTCAACGATTGTGGAAGTCAGTGTGGCGATTCCTCAAGTATCTGGAACTAGAAATACCATTTGATCCAGCCATCCCATTAGTGGGTATATAACCAAAGGACTATAAATCATGCTGCTATAAACACACATGCACATGTATGTTTATTGCCGCACTATTCACAATAGCAAAGACTTGGAACCAACACAAATGTCCAACAACGATAGACTGGATTGAGAAATTATGGCACATATACACCATGGAATACTATGCAGCCATAAAAAATGATGAGTTCATGTCCTTTGTAGGGATATGGATGAAATTGGAAATCATCATTCTCAGTAAACTATCGCAAGGACAAAAAACCAAACACTGTATGTTCTCATTCATAGATGGGAATTGAACAATGAGAACACATGGACACAGGAAGGGGAACATCACACTCTGGGGACTGTTGTGGGGTGGGCAGGGGGAGGAGGGATAGCATTAGGAGATATACCTAATGCTAAATGACGAGTTAATGGGTGTAGCACACCAGACTGGCACATGTATACATATGTAACTAACTGGCACATTGTGCACATAAACCGTAAAACTTAAAGTATAATAATAATAATAGTAATGATAAAATAAAATAATGAAAAATTTGTTTGCCTTGTAAATAAATTACCAAAAAAAAAAGGAAAAACAAGAGGCAGATTATTTGTGGAGATAAGTCTTCCCCCTATCAATGAGTAAAGATTTTTGCCCTTTAAAAATTTTTTAAGTCATGATTTTAGGTAAATGAATGACTTACGTTGACGTGGAATTCTATTTCATAACATCAAGTGTTTAAACCTTTAATATATTTAATAGGCTTCCCAAAATCAAATTGCATCTTCAAAATTTTATGTTCTGACCTCTAACTTTGGGATACTACAGAGGCCCCTGAAGCACCCAAAAGAGAGGTAAACAGGACTATTTAACATGTTAATTCACATGGCTAGCACTGTCAAAATAAAAAATAATGTTGAACCTTCTTTAGGTTATATTCAGTGTGTCATCAATCCATTCTAAAATTGTATAGGATTTCTAAAATTCTTGTATTTTTTTTTTTCTGAGAAGGAGTCTTTCTCTGTCACCCAGGCTGGAGTACAGTGGTGCAATCTCAGTTCACTGCAACCTCCACCTCCCGGGTTCATGCCATTCTCCTGCCTCAGCCTCCTGAGTAGCTGGGACTACAGGCACCCACCACCATGCCAGGCTAATTTTTGTATTTTTAGCAAAGACGGATTTCACTGTGTTAGCCAGGATGGTCTCGATCTCCTGACCTCATGATCCTTCCACCTCGGCCTCCCAAAGAGCTGGGATTACAGGCATGAGCCACCACATCCACCCTAATTATGGTTATTAAGTTATTGTAGACCACAGAAATAACCAAATTTCCTTGTCATTTGTCTTTATCTATAACTATTTAAAGTCATTTCCACAGTTAATTGCTTAATGGTGATGCAGTTTCTAAAAACTTCACAAGCATGCAAAATTCTAGAATATGGTGTCTCTTAGAAGATTCATGAAAGAATGAAAAGGATCCTGAAAAACACTCGTGAACACAGATTTTTAATAACTTTAATATCATGGGTAAAAATTCCCCATAAGTTCCCTGATACCCCAAGAATTGGACAGGTTAAGAATTCTCAAAAGTTAGGCTGGGTGCAGCGGCTCACGTCGGCAATCCCAGCACTTTGGGAGGCCAAGGCCAGTGGATCACTTGAGGTCAGGAGTTTGAGACCAGCCTGGCCAACGGTGAAACCCCACCTCTACTAAAAATGTAAAAATTAGCTGAGTGTGGTGGTATGTGCCTGTAATCCCAGCTACTCTGGAGGCTGAGGCAAGAGAATTGCTTGAACCCAGGAGGTGGAGGTTGCAGTGAGCCAAGATTGTGCCACTGCACTACAACCTAGGTAACAGAGTGAGACTCTGTCTCAAAAAAAAATCCCAAAAATTTAATAAAAAGACCAACTGGTTTATAAAACTGCTAACCTAAGTAAAACAAAAATTGTATACCAAGGAAATATTTTGCCACATTTGCATGCTAAATCACCAATATTGAAATTGATTAGATATATAATTTAAATAATCTCCATGGTCTAAGTCAAATCACCTATAACTACTCATCAGTTACCAGTGCCATGCACCTAATTTGGAGAAACAGCTGGTATTCAAGAGGATGTAAGTCTAATGTTAATTAAGCACAGACTTATGAAGAACCAGGATGGCCACCTTATCCTTCTTAAGTCCTTAAAACTTTTGTTATTAAAAGTTCTGCATTCCATAACTCATCATGGAAAGAGAAAATGATCCAAATTAAATATATTGGTGTGGTGATTTCTAAACTGCTAAAATAGTTTATAACCAATGTTTGGTTTGTCAATACTATATTTCTAGGAAAACAATCAAAACTTCAGGTACATTTGGTTACCTGATGGGCCATTTAAACATTTTATAAAGGGATTTCATTCAGTTTTCATTTTCAGTGCATGTTTTCTGATTGTATAAAAACTTCCATGCGAGAGAATTGATGTTAAAACAGTAGATAATTACCCTGAAGTGTATTTTCACCAGGTAAAGAAAGCCTTTTATGGTTCACTGAGGACAGTCAAACCCTTCAAAATCTAGAATCTGATGACTGGATCTTCTGAGAACATCAGAGAAGGACTGCCCTTGCCATCCACATGACAGCAAAAATTTAAAACCTTAAACTTTGGGTTCATAGTCTCACAACTCAGAAGGGTCCCTCCACACTCGGAACCATATGCCCATTGGAACCCTTAAGGTAAAGCTAACAAGGACAGTTCCCCCCAGAAGAAGATGGCATCCTTAATGTGAACAGCTTTTCCCAAGATCACAGATCAAGACTTCTCTACTATCATGAGACACTTATCTTAAGTATCTGTGCAGCTGCTAACACTTACAGCATGTGGAGAAAACATGGTGTATTATAAAGATTTGGTTGTAGGGAATTAACAAAAAAACCCACTTAGTTAAGCAAGTAAACTCTTTATCTAATTCATTCTTTAATCTATTTGATTTTAGGTGGTTTGATTTATGGGGACCCTGAGTTAGGAGCATATACCAAATTCTTGGTGTTATCCCAAGAGTCATAAGAGTCTCCCTGGTGCACTGTACTTACTCAAATGTTTTAAGAGTTTGCATGCAGGCATCTCTAAAATATCAAATGGTATCTCTTCAACTGGAATGACAAGAGATTAAAAAAAAGTGCAACCATAAGGACACCGTAACCTATGAGTGACATGCTAAACCGGAAACCCAAAACAATGGGGGTGACATGCTAAACCAGAAACCCAAAACAATGGGAGCGATGTACTAAAACTGGAACCCAAAACAATGGGAGTGATGTGCACTAAAACCAGAACCCAAAACAATGGGAGTGACGTGCTAAACCAGAAACCCAAAACAATGGGAGTGACTTGCTAAAACTGGAACCCAAAACAATGGGAGTGACGTGCCAAAAGCGGAAACGAAAACAAGGGGAGTGATGTGCTTAAACCAGAACCCAAAACAATGGGAGTGACCTGCGAAACCAGAAACCCAAAACAATGGGAGTGACGTGCTAAACCAGAAACCCAAAACAATGAGAGTGATATACTAAAACTGGAACCCAGAACAATGGGGGTGACGAACACTAAAATCAGAATCCAAAACAATGGGAGTGACTTGCTAAAACTGGAACCCAAAACAATGGGAGTGATGTGCTAAAACCGGAAATGAAAACAATGGGAGTGATGTGCTAAAACCGGAACCCAAAACAATGGGAGTGACCTGCTAAACCAGAAACCCCAAACAATGGGAGCATCCTGCTAAACCAGAAACCGAAAACAATTGGAGTGATCTGCTAAACCAGAAACCCAAAACAATGGGAGTGACGTGCTAAAACTGGAACCCAAAACAATGGGAGTGACGTGCTAAAACCGGAACCCAAAACAGTGGGAGTGACCTGCTAAACCAGAAACCCAAAACAATGGGAGTGACGTGCTAAAACCAGAAACCCAAAACAATGGGATCATCCTGCTAAACCAGAAACCCAAAACAATGGGAGTGACGTGCTAAAACCAGAACCCAAAACAATGGGATCATCCTGCTAAACCAGAAACCCAAAACAGTGGTAACTAAGAGTGATGCTAAGGCCCTACATTTTGGTCACACTCTCAACTAAGTGAGAACTTGACTGAAAAGGAGGACTTTTTTTTTCTAATACAGAGTCTTGGTCTGTCCCCCAGAGTGGAGTGCAGTGGCACAATCTTGGCTCACTGCAAGCTCTGCCTCCCAGGTTCAGGCCATTCTCCTACCTCAGCCTCCTGAGTAGCTGGGACTACAGGCACCCACCAACACACTTCGCTAATTTTTTGTATTTTTAGTAGAGATGGGGTTTCACCATATTAGCAAGGATGGTCTCAATCTCCTGACCTCGTGATCTGCCCACCTCAGCCTCCCAAAGTGCTGGGATTACATGTGTGAGCCACCGCGCCCAGCCAAAAGGAGGAATTTTTTTAAGCAAAATTATGGGAGGCCATTGTTTTGAACTAAACTCATGCAATAGGTCCCAACAGACCAAACCAAACCAAAATGGAGTCACTCATGCTAAATGTAACATAATCAAACTAAGACTTTAAGGAAACACATAAATCCTAGAACAAACTAGGTTTTGTTTTTCTCCTGTAAACAGGATGTTCCAGCATAAGAAGATACCTTCTACTCAAGTCCTTGTTCCACCTTTTCAAATCTCACTGGTCTATTTCCCAGTGGGTTTCTAAACCAAGTAAGTACATTTGCAATGGTAATAGTCACACCAGTGACTGAAGTTTTGGCCAATCTCTCATAATTGAGAAAATAACCAAAGGGAAGGCATTGTTAAAGTGAACTAAGTATGGCCTGAGAAGGACTCCATAATTCTATATATGAGTCCTTGTGGATGAACTGTAACCTACCTTAATAGGTATACAAGAATGAAAAACTAACTTAAGAGTATGCACCTGGAACAACAGCTACATCTTGGCCAATCCCAATGACCAAACTTCAACCACTCAGGCACTGCCAAATGTTCAAAATGTGTTCAAACAAGGCAAACACTGAGTTGTTTCGGTACCTCACTTCCGATTTCGGTATGCTATTTTCCTTTTGTCTATAAATCTTCTTCCATCACATGACTGCGCTGGAGTCTCTGTGAATCTGCTGTGATTCTGGGGACTGCATGATTCGTGAATCGTTTATTACTCTATTAAACTCCTTTAAAGTTTTTCTTTTAACAGAACTAACACAGAAGAATTTCCAGATCATGAACAGATGTTTTGTAATACCCAACGTTGTAACATGAATAGACTCTTCCTTAGATAGCTAACCTTGTTTTTAATATGAATAGACTCTCCCTTAGCTGAGAAAACCAGACAAACTCCATTTGGCTCCTTCATTTACAAGACATCAAGGGCTCCCTACCCACCCCCTTTCCTCAAGGACTTTAACTTGTGCAAGCTGACTTTCAACATATCAAAGAGTGGAATTAACTGATAAAGTGCTGAGACAAGCGATGTCTGCAGTTCCCAGCAATTTATTCAGAGATAGTATCATAAAGCCCCACATTTGTCTGGCAGATATTGCCCAGAGCCCCCTCACCTATCACTTTGTGGTGAATTTAAAGCCCCTGCACCGGGAACAGTTTGTTTTCCTGTAACCATCTGTCTTTTTAAATTTTTTGTCTGTTATTATCTTCTGTAAAGTTGCTGCAGCTAGAATCCCCCCTCCCCTCTTTAAACCAAAGTATAAAAGAAAATCTTGTCCCTTCTTCGGGGCCGAGAGAATTTCGTGCGTTAGCTGTCTCTCAGTCACCAGCTAATAAAGGACCCCTGAATTCGTCTCAAAGTGTGGCGTTTATCTCTAAATCACTCGGGTACGACAGTTTCAACTATGGTAGAAGACTTGAGTAAGGCAAATACAGTCCCCCTAAATTTGACTATTATTTACGTTAATGGTGAGTTTAGAAGAAATAAGTTAAGACTACAAAGAGTGGGCTAAAGTGCAAATAAACACTGGAAATATTTCCCAGAAAATATGACTTTGAACAGGCTGCTGCACACCCTGCATGTAGAGATAAACTAAGAAAAATGTCTGGAGAGTTATTTAAGGACCTATGGTTAACTCAGTACTCAAGATGTTCTGGGTTTCATCCATGAATCAAGGAGGACCTCCCAAAAGCTGTTTGGGACCACACTCTTTGAGCAATGAGCACAACTTACGATGGAAGCTGTGCTTTAGCGGAAGATGACCGTTTCCACTGCACAACACTACAAGTGGTTAATGCCAGGCCGGTGTGAAATATGTTCCAGCACATAATCTATGTCACCAATGAAGGTGGTGGTTCGGACTTGGTACACACAAGCTTTCCTGTCCCACAAGAACACTGCATGCTCTCTTCTCGGGTTCCATTCCAATCACGTAACAAATATGACTGCCTTTTTTGTCTCGGCATCAGAAAGATCAGAGGAAAATTTCCACCCAACTTAGACAACTCTAAGCTCTTATAACCTGCCTATATCTACAGGTCAGCTTTATCTTATTTATGTATATTTCCTTCAACCTGAGTTTTACTTATTTCTACTTTTCCTTTTTAATTCACAGACACCCATAAACTCAGAAAATACAGTGTAAAACAAAGTGAAGAACAAGTAAACAACTCACCAGATATTTATTCGTTTCTTGTTGCTCTTGGAAACACCCAGAGGACACTGGAAACATAGCTGGGATAGAAGGCAAATGACGTGGATTAAGGAGAGAACTGGTGTGGTGTGGTCCCAGATTCTTCTGCCCAATGCTCTAGACACATTACCTGGGAAAGCCCTCCTCCCTCCTGAAAAAGAAAAACTTCCCCGTGGGAGAAGAGTCCTTCACGCCTCATTAGGGGCAGCAGAGGCTCAAGTTAAGATAAGATACATAGACAAGTACATTAATTGGTAGACATTAGATGCACAATTTATTTTTGAATAAAAATATGTATTACCTACTAATTTAGTAACAATATTATCTAAAGATATAATCTAATAATTTAATACAAAGAAACATTATAAGTTCACTAAAATAAATGTTATAGAAATATACTGGGCTGTATTAACTATTTTCCTATTAATATGTAGATTCCACAAATAACTTCATATGAGTGTTCCCATGACAGTACCTCTTGCTTTTCTATACCTGAACATCGTGGAAAGTGCATCTTGCAAACCAGCAATTTTGGCCTACAATTACGTTTTTTAAAATGTACATAATATGTATTTCCTGCAGTACACCATTCTACTCATGTTTCCCAATAACACCTTTCCTTCTATCCAAGCCCTCATATTATGCTCTGACAATAAATTGGGCTTTTCCATCTGACTTGTCCAGTGAATGGACAATGGAAAATGTGATGCAAATATCCATTGGTTCTTCCCTTTTTGGGAGAAATTTTGAAGAGGTCTGGAGCTACCCTGTTGGAGACACAGGGCCTAGCCAAGAGTCACCACAAACCACCAGATTGTGAAGGAAACTATCTTAAACCAACCAGGCTCAGTCAACGCACCAGGTGACTAAGGCCTTTTTGTAATCCAGGCAACACAAATATATCAACTACCCAGCTGAATCCACCACACCAAAGTGCAGATCCACAGAACTTCATACAAATAAAATGGTGATTGTTTTTTATAAGCCAGTAAGGTTTAATTAGTTCCTTAAACAGCAAGTATTAACTGTTACACCTAAGTGAACAGAATTCACTTCTGTGTTTTTAACAAAATTATGTAGGGGGAGAAAATCTTAAATTACAAATCAAATACAATCAATAGAACTTCGCAATCTAATGCTAAATTTGGGGATGGACTAGGTTTAATATATCTCAGACGCGAAAAAACGAGCTAAGATTGAAGGAATGGGACTGTGTTTGGAGAGTATTTTAATCCTCTCAAGTATGACAGGTCACTGCTGTACCCCAGACCACACTTTCAGGCCCCTTCAAATAAGGAATATTTCCTAAGTCCTTGCCTGTTCTTCTCAGCTGAATTCACCTCAACCTTCTGAAAGTTCGTCCAAACCTTCTACTATCACCTAGTCTTTGCAAATCTTGTGCATTCTAGGGAGTAGAATTAATATTTCCTGAGCAAGGAAAACTGGGATCTTCACCTGTGACCTTTTTTCCTCCTCTGAAGCACCAGTGAGAGGTTAGACCAGATGGCTGTTCTTTCAAGTGTGCTTCTTATTCATAGGGAACCCTCCCTTTCAAACTTTGTAACACACAGTTAAGACTGAAGTACCCTTAAGGCTGACGACCATCATCTATTATGCCATCTCCCTTGTGGAATCAGTGAGTTCTTCCCTGGAAACTAGGTCTCGTATAAACTTCTGTAAATGCGACCCAGGAGGACTAGGCAGGTCACACAGTGAAGGAGGGAACCAGAAACTTCACTTGCTAAAGAGACACCAGGAAACCCAACTAATACAAACACCAAGTTTAAGACTAGCGGCGCACGCGTTTCACACTACTCCTCTGGGAATGGGGAAAGTCTCCTGAGAACTGTGTGTTAGCACTGGGACAGATGGGCAAACTGAGCATCATGCTGGTTGGTAACCGTGTCCCTCAGCGGCAGGACAGGAGCGCGGCCTGCAGACTCTGGGCCTAGGGCCACTGGCCTCTCCTACCCGCTCCTGTGCCTCTAGAACCCGCTTCACTGCTGGGACCCCACGCCTGTCCTCCCAGCCTCCGCCTGGGTCCGTGGCCCGCACCTGCTCTTCAGGCCCTGCCCTCCCGCGATTCGCCCATGCGTCTGCTTCCACAACTAGGGAACACTGGTCCGGCCCCCTGGGATTCCCTGAGGCCTACGGGTTCCTCTTGGCCCTTGCACCGACCCACAGGGACATAGAACCAAGCCCCAAGCCGGCCCAGCTACAGGACCGACTCTGGGTGCCACACTTCCGGAGGAAAATGGCGGAGTGGGCCGGGCGGCGCATGCGCAGAGAGAAAAGCTGGTTCCCAAGGTCCTTGATGGTAACATCATTGGAAGGTGACACCACAATTCCCATGAGGCTTTGCGGTCCCCCGTTAGGAACCCACGCCGGACATTCTGTTTTGCCCAGCACTTGAGTCCAGTTACACAGAGACCCGGACTTAATGTATCAGGACTGGTCCCTACCCAGGTGACACAGATGTGGCATTCTGGTTCTTTATTAAATCCTGGTTTCACAGCCTGGGACATTGTGAAAATAATGGAGAAATTTCAATAGAGGCCAATTGGTCTATGCTATGAATGAGTAAGTTTTTTTTTTTTTTTGAGATGGAGTCTCACTCTGTCGCCCAGGCTGGAGTGCAATGGTGCAATCTTGGCTCACTGCAACCTCCGCTTCCCGGGTTCAAGCGATTCTCCTGCCTCAGCCTCCTAAGTACCTGGGATTACAGGCGTGCGCCACCACACTCGCCTAATTTTTGTATTTTTAGTAGAGACAGGTTTTCACCATGTTGGTCAGGCTGGTCTCCAACTCCTGACCTCGTGATCCGCCCTCCTCGGCCTCCCAAGGTGCTGGGATTACAAGCGTGAGCCACTGCGCCCAGCCCTCAAGTCTATTTTTTATAGATGCATTCGAAAGCATGAAAACAATCATGCCTCTATTTTACTTTAAAATTTTAAAAACACAACTAATGAATATGGTAATTCTCTTCCAATCCGTTATCTTTTCTCTCACTAAACTAATTTGTGAGCCTTCAATTACACAGTTAGAAAATATGCTCTAGTGCATATACTAGGATAAAATAACAGGGTCATAAGACAGGTGCACTCCATAATCTTTGTGACAACTTTCACTTCCAGTGTCTGATAAATATTTGCCCATAGACTCCCACGTTTCATCCATCCATCCATCCATCAATCAAATCTACCTATCTTTATTTATTTATTGTGAGAAAGACCTGAAATTTGCCTTTCCTTCCCTGATTTCTGCCACAACCTAGGCAAGGAGTTCTGTCTAGGGATTTCTCAGAGCTCCGGCTACCACCGAGGTTCCTAACAGGGAAACGCAGGCTTGAATGCTCAGGGTTGATGTGGGAGTGCATGTGAAACGGGGGTGGGGTGAAAGGGCAGTGACGTTTGTAGGTGGGCAGATGAGGGTGTTGATGGGCTTTCAGGTAAGAGGCACAGAGGAACCTGGGAGAGGCAGCGAAAGCACCTCACGCCTCAGATCACCAGAAGACGCTCCCACCAGTGCCATGACAGTTTGCCAATGCCATGGCATCATGAGAAGTCCCCACCCCTTGCCATGGAAACAGATGGAAGTTACTGCCCATTTCTAGCTATTTCTGAATAACCTGCCCCTTAATTAGCATGCCATTAAAAGTGAATTATAAAAATGACTACAAGCCACCCCTAGGCTGCTGCTCTGGGAGCACAACCCACGGAGGGCACCCTGCCCTGCCGGAGTGGATGCAGGGCTGTAACACCGCCAATGCCTCCGTAGAGCTGCTTTCTTCCACCACAGGCTTGCTTTTGGATTTCTTCCTGAGCGACGCCAAGAACCTGCCCTTCCTCAGTGTGACTCTTGCCTAAAACCTATCCCTGATATTCTCTTTTCCTAAGCATGCCTTGACTTGTTCTTTCATCTCCTCTGATCTTGCAATTGGTCCTCAGTGACTCTATTCTGCAGATCCAGAAAACTCAACCTTAATCTTCCCAGAGCCCTGTTGTCTCTAATATTGGAATCTCTAGCCTTGTTTTCTCAGACGCCTAGATTACAGGCTTCTCTCTTGAACACCTATTGGTATGGTATCCGGGGATCCTTTAAATACTTGATGATTGGCAGGGGTTAAATAGCGGAAATCAGTGCCTGATAATTCACCTTCCAGGATATGGACTGTCATTCCCTCTCTTGGTGGGCCTCAGTCTCTTATCCATAAAAGTAGAGTATATAATACTCATTTGAATTGCAGATACCTCAACCCGAACCCACCTAATATAATGTAAAAGCCAAGAATGCAACCCCTTTCTTCACCCCGTGAAGGTAAAGCCCTCAGAGCCAAGGAGAGAAGGCTCAGGGATGGTATCTGGGTGTTTCCAACGCTAACCATGTATTGTAGTTTTTAGTGTTCAAGTTTAAGCTTCCCCAGCTTTAATTCTATTGTAACAAGATTTATTTTTATAATTCCATTTTTGGATTCTTGATTTCTTGGTGAAGAAGTACAGTTATTTTTGTATACCAATCTTATATAGTGTTACATTCTTAAATTTGTTCATGAGTCCTAATACTTTTTAGTAAATTTCTTATGATTTTCTAAATGCAAGATC
>NC_000021.9:7915746-8049839 GCF_000001405.40 Homo sapiens | reverse complement strand
GATCTGCCAGGGGATATTTCGAGTGCTTTCAGGCCTATGGTGGAGAAGGAAATATCCTCACATAAAAATTAGAGAGAAGCATTCTGAGAAACTTCTTTGTTATGTGTGCATACATCTCACAGAGTTTAAACTTTCTATTGACTTAGCATTTTTTAAACACTTTTTGTAGGATCTGCGGTGGATATTTGGAGCCCTTTGGGGCCTATGGTGGAAAAGAATTATCTTCTCATAAAAACAAGGCAGAAGCATTCTGAGAAACTTCTTTGTGATGTGTGCGTACATCTCACAGATTTGAAACTTTCCTTTGATTGAACATTTTTGAAACACTCTTTTGGTAGAATCTGCAAGTGCATATTTAGAGTGCTTTGAGTCGTGTGGTGGAAAAGGAAATATCTTCACGTAAACACTAGACAGAAGCATTCTGAGAAACGTCTTTGTGATGTGTCCATTCATCTAACAGAGGTGAAACTTTCTTTTCATTGAGCAGTTTTGAAACACTCTTTTTATAGAATCTGCAAGTGGATATTTGGAGCACTTTGGAGAGAATGGTGGAAATGGAAATATCTTCATATAAAAACTATGGAGAAGCATTCTGAGAAACGGTTTTGTTATGTGTGCCTTCAACTCACAGAGTTGAACCTTTCTTTTGATTGAGCAGTTTTGAATCCCTCTTTTTGTATAATCTGCAAGTGGATATTTGGAGAGCTTTGGTGCCTATGGTGGAAAAGGAAATATCTTCACATAAAAACTACACAAAAGCATTCTGAGAAACTTCTTTCTGATGTGTGCATACAACTCACAGAGTCGAAACTTTCTTTTGATTGTGCAGTTTTGAAACACTTCTTTTGTAGAATCTGCAAGTGGATATTCAGAGGGCTTTGTGGAGTATAGTGGAAAAGGAAATAACTTTGGATAAAAGCTAGACAGCAGCATTCTGAGAAACTTCTTTGTGATGTGTGCATTCAACTCACAGAGTTGAACCTTTCTTTTGTTTGAGCAGTTTTGAAACACTATTTTTGTAAAATCTGCAAGTGGATACTTGGCGCGCTTTGCGGCCTATGGTGGAAAAGCAAATATCTTCACATAAAAACTAGAGAGAAGCATTCTGAGAATGTTCTTTGTGAGGTGTGCATTCACCTCACAGAGTTGAAACTTTTTTGTTGAGGAGGTTTAAAACACTCTTTTTGTAGAATCCGCAAGTGGGTGTTTGGAGCACTTTGTGGCCTATAGTGGAAAAGGATGTATATTCACATAAAAACTAGACAGAAGCATTCTGAAAAATTACTTTGTGATGTGTGCATTCATCACAAAGAGTTGAACCTTTCTTTTGGTTGAGCAGTTTTGAAGCACTCTTTTTGTAGAATCTGTAAGTGGATATTTGGAGTTCTTTGAGGCTTATGGTGGTAAAGGAAATATCTTCACATAAAAACTACACAGAAGCATTCTGAGAAACTTCTGTGTGATGTATGCATTCATCTCACAGGGTTGAACCTTTCTTTTGTTTGAGCAGTATTCAAACACTGTTTTTGTGGAATCTGCAATTCGATATTTGGAGAGCTTTGAGGCCTATGTTGGTAAAGGGAATATCTTCAAATAAAATCTGGACAGAAGCATTCTGAGAAACTACTTTGTGATATGTGCATTCAACTCACAAAGTTGAACATATCTTTGAGGAGTTTGGAAACATTCTTTTTGTAGCATCTGCAAATGTATATTTGGAGCGCTTTGAGGCCTATAGTTGAAAAGGAAATATCTTCACATAAAAACCAGACAAAAGCATTCTTAGAAACTCCTTTATGATGTGTGCTTTTATCTCACATAATTCAACATTTCCTTTCATTGAGCAGTTTTGGAACACTTTTTTTGTGGAATCCGCAATTGGATATTTGGAAAGCTTTGCCTCCTATAGTGAAAAAGGAAATATCTTCACATAAAAACTAGACAGAAGCATTCTGGGAATCTTCTCTGTGACGAGTGCATTCATCTCACTGGGTTGAACCTTTCTTTTGATTAAATAGTTTTGAAACACTCTTTTTCTAGAATCTGCAGGTAGATATATGGAACACTTTGAGGCCTATGGTGGAAAAGGAAATATCTTCACATAAAAACTACACAGAAGCATTCTGAGAAACTTCTTTATGATGTGTGCAATGATCTCACAGAGTTGAAACTTTGTTTTGATTGAGCAGTTTTGAAACACCGCTTTTGTAGAATCTGTAAGTGGATATTTGGAGTGCTTTGTTCCCTATTGTAGAGGAAATATCTGCACATAAAACTAGACAGAAGCATTCTGAGAAACTTCTTTGTGATGTGTGCATTCATCTCACACAGTTGAACTTTTCTTTTGATTCATCACTTTTGAAACACTCTTTTTGAAGAATATGCAAGTGGATATTTGAAGCGCTTTGTGGCCTATAGTGGAAAATTTTATATCTTCACATAAAAACTAGACAGAAGCATTCTGAGAAACTTCTTTGGGATATATGCATTCATCTCACAGACTTGAAACTATTTTGATTTAGCATTTTAGAAACACCCTTTTGTAAAATCTGCAAGTGGATATTTTGAGCGCTTTGCATCCTCTAGTGGAAAAGGAAATATCTTCACACAGAAAAAAGACAGAAGCATTCTGAGAAACCTGTGTGTGATGTGAGCATTCCTCCCACAGAGTTGAACCTTTCTTTTGATTGAGCAGTTTTGAAACACACTTTTTGTTGAATCTGCAATTGGATATTTGGAGAGCCTTGGGGCCTATGGTGGAAAAGTAAATATCTTCACATAATAACTGCACAGAGGTATTCTAAGAAACTTCCTTCTGATGTGCACATTCAGTTCACTGAATTGTACCTTTCCTTTGATTGAGCAGTTTTGAAACACTCTTTTGCAGAATCTGCAATTGGATATTTGAAGCTCTTTCCAGTCTCAAGTGGAAAAGGAAATATCTTCACATAAAAAATAGACAGAAGCATTCTGCGAAATTTTTGTGATGTGTGCATTCTTCTAACAGAGTTGAACTTTTATTTTGATTGAGCAATTTTGAAACACTCTTTTTGTAGATTCTGCAAGTGGACATTTGGAGCTCTTTCAGTCCTATGGTGGTAAAGGAAATAACTTCACACAAAAACTAGACAGAAGCATTCTGAGAAACTCCTTTGTGATGTGTGCATTCATCTCACAGGTTTGAACCTTTCTTTTGGTTGAGCAGTTTTGAAACACACTTTTTGTAGAATCTGAAGGTGGATATTTGGAACACTTTGGGGCCTATGGTATAAAAGGAAATATCTTCACATAAAAACTAGACAGAGCATTCTGAGAAACAACTTTGTGATGCGTGCTTTCATCTCACAAAGTTGAACGTTTCTTTTGATTGAGTAGTATTGAAACGCACATTTGTAGACTCTACCAGTGGATATTTGGAGTGCTTTGGGGCCTACGGTGGAAAAGGATATATCTTCACATAAAAACTAGACAGAAGCATTCTGAGAAACTTCTTTGTGATGTGTGCATTCAACTAACACTGTTGAACCCTTCTTTTGATTGAACAATTTTGAATCACTTTTTTTGTAGAATCTGCAAGTGAATATTTGGAGTGCTTTGCAGACTACAGTTTAAAAGGGAATATATTCACCTAAAAACTAGACAGAAGCATTCTGATAAACTTTGTTGTAATGTGTGCATTCAACTAACAGAGTTGAACCTTTCTTTTGATTGAGCAGTCTGGAAACACTCTTTTTGAAGAATCTGTAAGTGGATATTTGGAGCACTTTGCAGCCTATTGTGGAAAAGGATAAATCTTCAAATAAAAACTAGACAGAAGCATTCTGAGAAACGTCTTTGTGAGATGTGCATTCATCTCACAGACTTGAACCTTTCTTTCGATTGAGCAGTTTTGAAACACTCTTTTTGTAGAATCTGCAAGGGATATTTGAAGAGCTTTGAGGCCTAATGTGGAAAAGGAATTATCTTCACATAAAAACTAGACAGAAGCATTCTGAGAATCTTCATTGTGAAGTGTGCATTCATCTCACAGAGCTGAAACTTTCTTTTGATTCAGCAGTTTTGAAATACTCTATTTATGGAATCTGCTTGTGGATTTTTGGAGCGCTTTGAGGCATGTGGTGGAAAAGGAAATATCTTCACATGAAAACTAGACAGAAGCATTCTGAGAAAATTCTTTGTTATGTGCGCATTCAACTCACGGAGTTGAACCTTTCTTTTGATTGAGCAGCTTGGAAACACTCTTTTTGTAGTATCTGCAAGTGGATATATGGAGCGCTTTGTGGCCTATAGTGGATAAGGAAATATCTTCAAATAAAAACCAGACAGAAGCATTCTGAGTAAATTCTTCATGTTGTGTGCATTCATCTCACAGAGTTGAACATTTCCTGTGATTGGGAAGTTTGAAACACCCTTTTCACAGAATCTGCAAGTTGATATTTGGAGTGCTTTGAGGCCTATATTGGAAAAGGAAATATCTTCACATATATACAGGAAAGAAACATTCTGGGAAACTACTTTGTGATGTGCATTCAATTCACAGAGCTGAACATTTCCTTTGATTGAGCTGCTTGGAAAGCGTCTTTCTGTAGTGTCTGCAAACGGACATTTTGAGTGCTTTGAGGCCTATGGTGGAAAAGGAAATATCTTCACATAAAAACTAGACAGAAGCATTCTGAGAAAATTTTTTGTGATGTGTGCATTCAACTCACAGAGTTGAACCTTTCTTTTGATCGAGGAGTTTGGAAGCAGTCTTTTTGTAATATCTACAAATGGATATTTGCATCACTTTACTTCATGGAATGGAAAAGGAAACATCTTAACATAAAAACTAGACAAAAGCATATTGAGAAACTTCTCTGTGATGTGTCCATTCATCTCATAGAGTAAAATCTTCCTTTTGATTGAGCAGGTTTGAAACACTCTTTTTGTAGAATCTGCAAGTGGATATTTGGAGCGCTCTGTGGCCCATAGTGGAAAAGGAAATATCTTCATAAAAAAAATAAACAGAAGCACTTTGAGAAACTTCTCTGTGTTGTATGCAGTCATATCTCAGACATGAAACTTTCTTTGGTACAGCAGTTTTAAAACACTCTTTTTGGAGATTCTGAAAGTAGATATTTGGAGAGACTTGAGGACTACGGTGGAAAAGGAAATATCTTCACAAAAAAACTAGACAGAAACATTCTGAGAAGCTTCTTTGTGATGTGTGCATCCATCTCAAAGAGTTGAACCTTTCTTTTGATTGAGCATTTTTGAAGCACTCTTTTTGTAGAATCTTCAAGTGGATATTTGGAGTGTTTGTGGCCTGTGGTGGAAAAGGAAATATATTCACATAAAAACTAGATAGAAGCATTCTGAGAAACTTCTTTGTGATGTGCTCATTCATCTCACAGAGTTGAACTTTTCTTTTGATTGAGCAGTTTGGAAACAGTCTTTTTGTAGAATCTGCAGGTGGATATTTGGAGCGCATTACGGCCTATAGTGGAAAAGGAAATATATTCACATAAAAACTAGACAGAAGCATTCTGAGAAACTTCTTTGTGATGTGCTCATTCAACTCACAGAGTTGAACTTTTCTTTTGTTTGAGCAGTTTGCAAACAGTCTTTTTGTAGAATCTGCAAGTGGATATTAGGAGTGCATTACGGCCTATAGTGGAAAATGAAATAACTTCACATAAAAAATAGACAGAAACATTATGAGAAACTGCTCTGTGATGCGTGCATTCATCACCAGAGTTGAATTTCTCTTTTGATTGAACAGTTTTGAAACACTCTCTCTGTAGAATCTGAAAGGGATATTTGGAGCGCTTTGCAGCCTATGGTGAAAAAGGAAATATCTTCAAATAAAAGCTAGACAGAAGCATTCTAAGAAAGTGCTTTGTGAAGTGTGCATTCATCTCACAGAGTTGAATCATTCTTTTGTTTGACCAGTTTTGAAACTCTCTTTCTGTAGAATCTTCAAGTGGATATTTTCAGCGCTTTGAGGCCTATGGTGGAAAAGAAAATATCTTCACATAAAAACTAGTCAGAAGCATTCTGAGAAACTTCTTTGTGACGTGTGCATTCAACTCATGGAGTTCAACCTTTCTTTTGATTCAGCAGTTTGGAAACAGTCTTTTTACAGTATCTGCAGATGGATATTTGGAGAGCTTTGAGGCCTATGGTGGAAAAGGAAATATCTTCCCATAAAAACTAGACAGCAGCATTCTGAGAAACTTATTTGTGATCTGCGCATTCATCTCACAGAGTTGAACCTTTCTCTTGATTCAGCAGTTTTGAAACTGTCGTTTTGTAGAATCTGCAAAGGAATATTTGTGAGCCCATTGAGGCTTCTGGGGTGATAGGAAATATCTTCACATAAAAACTAGACAGATACTTTCTGAGAAACTATTTTGTCATGTGTGACTTCTACTCACCGGGTTGAAACTTTCTCTTGATTGAGCAGTTTGGAAACAGTCTTTTTGTAGAATCTGCAAATTGATATTTGGAGTGCTTTTGGCCTACGTTGAAAAACGAAATATCTTCCCATAAAAAGTAGGCAGAAGTTTTGGAGAAATTTATTTTGATGTGTGCATTCATCTCACACAGTTGAAATTTTCTTTTGATTGAGCAGTGTGGATACACTCGTTTTGCAGAGTCTGCAAGTGGATATTTGGAGCACTTTGTGGCCTATAGTGAAAAAGGAAATATCTTCACATAAAAACTAGATAGAAGAATTCTGAGAAACTTCCTTTGAATGGGCGCATTCATCTCACACTGTTGAACTTTTTTTTTGATTGAGCACCTTCTAAACAGTCATTTTGTAGAATATGCAAAGGAATATTTGTGAGCCCATTGATGCCTCTGGGGAAACAGGAAATATCTTCACATAAAAACGAGACAGAATCTTTCTCAGAAACGTCTTGGTGATGTGTGCATTCATCTCACTGAGTTGAACTTTATTTTGATTGAGCAGTTTGGAAACAGTCTTTTCTAGTATCTGCAAATGGATATTTTAAGCACTCTGAGGCCTACGGTGAAAAAGGAAATATCTTCAATATAAATCAGACAGAAGCATTCATAGAAACTTCTTTGTGATGTGTGCATTCATCTCACCGACTAGAACCTTTCTTTTGATTGAGCAGTTTTGAAACACTCTTTTAGCGGAATCTGCAAGTGTTTCTTTGGAGCGCATGAGGAATATGGTGGAAAAGGAATCTTCTTCACATAAAAACGAGACGGAAGCATTCTGAGAAACTTCTCTGTGATGGATGCATTCATTTCACAGAGTTAAACCTTTCCTGTGATTGAGCGGTTTGGAAACAGTAGTTTTTCATAATCTACAGAAGGATACTTGTGAGCCGATTGAGGTCTATGGGGTGATAAGAAATATGTTCACATAAAAAATAGATAGAAAGTTTCTGAGAAACTTCTTTGTGATATTTGCTTTTATCTGCTAGAGTTGAAACTTTCTTTTTATTGAGCAGTTTGGGAACAGTCTTTTTGTAGTATCTGCAAATGGATATTACCAGTGCTTTGAGGCCTATTTTGAAAAAGGAAATACCTTCACATAAAAACAAGGCAGAAGCATTCTGAGAAACTTCTTTTTGATGTCTGCATTCATCTCGCAGAGTTGAACCTTTCTTTTGATTGAGCAGTTTTGAAATGCTCTATTTGTAGTATCTGCAAGTGGATATTTGGAACGCTTTGAGGCCTATAGTGGAAAAGGAAATATCTTCACATAAAAAACTAGAAAGAAGAATTCTGAGAAACATCCTAGGAAGGTGTATTTTCGTCTCACACTGTTAAACCCGTCTTTTGATTGAGCAGCTTCGATACAGTCATTTAGTAGAATATGAAAGGGAATATTTGAGAGCCCATTGAGGCCTCTGGGGAAATAAGAAATATCTTCACCTAAAAACTAGACAAAAACTTTCTGAGAAACACCATTGTGATTTGTGCATTCATCATACACAGTTGAACTTTCTTTTGATTGAGCAGTTTGGATACAGTCATTTGTATTATCTGTAAATGGATATTTGGAGTGTACTGAGGCCTATGGTGAAAAAGGAAATATCCTCACATAAAATTCAGATGGAAGCATTCTTAGAAACTCCTTTGTGATGTGTGCATTCATCTCACAGACTTCAAACTTTCTATTGATTGAGCAGTTTTGAAACACTCTTTTTGTAGAATCTGCCAGTGGATATTTGGAGCCCTCTGTGGCCAATAGTGGAAAAGGAAATATCTTCATAAAAAAAATAAACAGAAGCACTTTGAGAAACTTCTCTGTGTTGTATGCAGTCATAACTCAGACATGAAACTTTCTTTGGTACAGCAGTTTTAAAACACTCTTTTTGGAGATTCTGAAAGTAGATATTTGGAGAGACTTGAGGACTACGGTGGAAAAGGAAATATCTTCACAAAAAAACTAGACAGAAACATTCTGAGAAGCTTCTTTGTGATGTGCTCATTCAACTCACAGAGTTGAACTTTTCTTTTGATTGAGCAGTTTGGAAACAGTCTTTTTGTAGAATCTGCAGGTGGATATTTGGAGCACATTACGGCCTATAGTGGAAAAGGAAATATATTCACATAAAAACTAGACAGAAGCATTCTGAGAAACTTTTTATGATGTGCTCATTCAACTCACAGAGTTGAACTTTTCTTTTGTTTGAGCAGTTTGCAAACAGTCTTTTTGTAGAATCTGCAAGTGGATATTAGGAGTGCATTACGGCCTATAGTGGAAAATGAAATAACTTCACATAAAAAATAGACAGAAACATTATGAGAAACTGCTTTGTGATGCGTGCATTCATCACCAGAGTTGAATTTCTCTTTTGATTGAACAGTTTTGAAACACTCTCTCTGTAGAATCTGAAAGGGATATTTGGAGCGCTTTGCAGCCTATGGTGAAAAAGGAAATATCTTCAAATAAAAGCTAGACAGAAGCATTCTAAGAAAGTGCTTTGTGACGTGTGCATTCATCTCACAGTGTTGAACCTTTCTTTTGATTGAGCAGTTTTGAAACACTCTTATTGTAGAATCTGCAAGTGGATATTTGGAGAGTTTGAGGCCACTGGTGGAAAAGCAAATATCTTCACATCAAAACTAGACAGAATCATTATGAGTAATCTCTTTGAGATGCGTGCATTCAACTCACAGAGTTGGACATTTCCTTTGATTGAGCAGTTTGGAAACAGTCTTTTTGCAGTATCTGCAAACGGATATTTGGAGCACTTTCAGGCCTATAGTGGGAAAGGAAATATCTTCACATAAAAACTAGACAGAAAATTACAGAAAAACTTCTTATTGATGAGTGCATTCATCTCACAGAGTTGAAACTTCTTTTGATTGAGCAGTTTGGAAACACTCTTTTAGTAGAAACTGCAAGGGGATATTTGGAGCGTTTTGTGGTCTATGGTAGAAAAGGCTATATCTTCACATAATAATAGAAGCATTCTGAGGAACTTCCTGATGTGTACATTCATCTCAAAGAGTTGAACTTTTCTTTTGATGGAGCAGCTTTGAAAAACTCTTTCTGCAGAATCTGCAAGTTGATATTTGGAGTGCTTTGTGGCCTATAGTAGAAAAGGAAATATCTTTACATAAAACTAGACAGAAGCATTCTGAGAAACTTCTTTGTGATGTGTGCATTCATCTCACAGAGTTGAATCTTTCTTTTGTTTGAGCAGTTTTGAAACTCTCATTTGTAGAATCTTCAAGTGAATATTTTCAGCGCTTTGAGGCCTACTGTGGAAAAGAAAATATCTTCACATAAAAACTTAGTCAGAAGCATTCTGAGAAACTTCTTTGTGACGTGTGCATTCAACTCATGGAGTTCAACCTTTCTTTTGATACAGCAGTTTGGAAACAGTCTTTTTACAGTATCTGCAAATGGCTATTTGGAGAGCTTTGAGGCCTATGGTGGAAAAGGAAATATCTTCCCATAAATGCCAGACAGCAGCATTCTGAGAAACTTATTTGTGATCTGTGCATTCATCTCACAGAGTTGAACCTTTCTTTTGATTCAGCAGTTTTGAAACTGTCGTTTTGTAGAATCTGCAAAGGAATATTTGTGAGCCCATTGAGGCTTCCGGGGTGATAGGAAATATCTTCACATAAAAACTAGAGAGATACTTTCTGAGAAACTATTTTGTCATGTGTGACTTCTACTCAACGGGTTGAAACTTTCTCTTGATTGAGCAGTTTGGAAACAGTCTTTTTGTAGAATCTGCAAATTGATATTTGGAGTGCTTTTGGCCTACGTTGAAAAACGAAATATCTTCCCATAAAAAGTAGGCAGAAGTTTTGGACAAATTTATTTTGATGTGTGCATTCATCTCACACAGTTGAAATTTTCTTTTGATTGAGCAGTGTGGATACACTCGTTTTGTAGAGTCTGCAAGTGGATATTTGGAGCACTTTGTGGCCTATAGTGAAAAAGGAAATATCTTCACATAAAAACTAGATAGAAGAATTCTGAGAAACTTCCTTTGAATGGGCGCATTCATCTCACACTGTTGAACTTTTTTTTTTGATTGAGCACCTTCTAAACAGTCATTTTGTAGAATATGCAAAGGAATATTTGTGAGCCCATTGATGCCTCTGGGGAAACAGGAAATATCTTCACATAAAAACGAGACAGAATCTTTCTCAGAAACGTCTTGGTGATGTGTGCATTCATCTCACTGAGTTGAACTTTATTTTGATTGAGCAGTTTGGAAACAGTCTTTTCTAGTATCTGCAAATGGATATTTTAAGCACTCTGAGGCCTACGGTGAAAAAGGAAATATCTTCAATATAAATCAGACAGAAGCATTCATAGAAACTTGTAATATGTGCATTCATCTCACCGACTAGAACCTTTCTTTTGATTGAGCAGTTTTGAAACACTCTTTTAGCGGAATCTGCAAGTGTTTCTTTGGAGCGCATGAGGAATATGGTGGAAAAGGAATCTTCTTCACATAAAAACGAGACGGAAGCATTCTGAGAAACTTCTCTGTGATGGATGCATTCATTTCACAGAGTTAAACCTTTCCTGTGATTGAGCGGTTTGGAAACAGTAGTTTTTTTACAATCTGCAGAAGGATACTTGTGAGCCGATTGAGGTCTATGGGGTGATAAGAAATATGTTCACATAAAAACTAGATAGAAAGTTTCTGAGAAACTTCTTTGTGATATTTGCTTTTATCTCCTAGAGTTGAAACTTTCTTTTTATTGAGCAGTTTGGGAACAGTCTTTTTGTAGTATCTGCAAATGGATATTACCAGTGCTTTCAGGCCTATGGTGAAAAAGGAAATATCTTCACATAAAAACAAGGCAGAAGCATTCTGAGAAACTTCTTTTTGATGTCTGCATTCATCTCACAGAGTTGAACCTTTCTTTTGATTGAGCAGTTCTGAAACGCTCTATTTGTAGTATCTGCAAGTGGATATTTGGAACGCTTTGAGGCCTATAGTGGAAAAGGAAATATCTTCACATAAAAAATTAGACAGAAGAATTCTGAGAAACTTCCTAGGAAGGTGTATTTTCGTCTCACACTGTTAAACCCGTCTTTTGATTGAGCAGCTTCGATACAGTCATTTAGTAGAATATGAAAGGGAATATTTGAGAGCCCATTGAGACCTCTGGGGAAATAAGAAATATCTTCACCTAAAAGCTAGACAAAAACTTTCTGAGAAACACCCTTGTGATGTGTGCATTCATCATACACAGTTGAACTTTCTTTTGATTGAGCAGTTTGGATACAGTCATTTGTATTATCTGTAAATGGATATTTGGAGTGTATTGAGGCCTATGGTGAAAAAGGAAATATCCTCACATAAAATTCAGATGGAAGCATTCTTAGAAACTCCTTTGTGATGTGTGCATTCATCTCACAGACTTCAAACTTTCTATTGATTGAGCAGTTTTGAAACACTCTTTTTGTAGAATCTGCCAGTGGATATTTGGAGCGCTCTGTGGCCAATAGTGGAAAAGGAAATATCTTCATAAAAAAAATAAACAGAAGCACTTTGAGAAACTTCTCTGTGTTGTATGCAGTCATATCTCAGACACGAAACTTTCTTTGGTACAGCAGTTTTAAAACACTCTTTTTGGAGATGCTGAAAGTAGATATTTGGAGAGACTTGAGGACTACGGTGGAAAAGGAAATATCTTCACAAAAAAACTAGACAGGAACATTCTGAGAAGCTTCTTTGTGATGTGTGCATCCATCTCAAAGAGTTGAACCTTTCTTTTGATTGAGCATTTTTGAAGCACTCTTTTTGTAGAATCTTCAAGTGGATATTTGGAGTGTTTGTGGCCTGTGGTGGAAAAGGAAATATATTCACATAAAAACTAGATAGAAGCATTCTGAGAAACTTCTTTGTGATGTGCTCATTCAACTCACAGAGTTGAACGTTTCTTTTGATTGAGCAGTTTGGAAACAGTCTTTTTGTAGAATCTGCAGGTGGATATTTGGAGCGCATTACGGCCTATAGTGGAAAAGGAAATATATTCACATAAAAACTAGACAGAAGCATTCTGAGAAACTTCTTTGTGATGTGCTCATTCAACTCACAGAGTTGAACTTTTCTTTTGTTTGAGCAGTTTGCAAACAGTCTTTCTGTAGAATCTGCAAGTGGATATTAGGAGTGCATTACGGCCTATAGTGGAAAATGAAATATCTTCACATAAAAACTAGACAGAAACATGATGAGAAACTGCTTTGTGATGCGTGCATTCATCACCAGAGTTGAATTTCTCTTTTGATTGAACAGTTTTGAAAAACTCTTTCTGTAGAATCTGAAAGGGATATTTGGAGCGCTTTGCAGCCTATGGTGAAAAAGAAATATCTTCACATATAAGCTAGACAGAAGCATTCTAAGAAAGTGCTTTGTGACGTGTGCATTCATCTCACAGTGTTGAACCTTTCTTTTGATTGAGCAGTTTTGAAACACTCTTATTGTAGAATCTGCAAGTGGATATTTGGAGAGTTTGAGGCCACTGGTGGAAAAGCAAATATCTTCACATCAAAACTAGACAGAATCATTATAAGTAATCTCTTTGAGATGCGTGCATTCAACTCACAGAGTTGGACAATTCCTTTGATTGAGCAGTTTGGAAACAGTCTTTTTGCAGTATCTGCAAACGGATATTTGGAGCACTTTCAGGCCTATAGTAGGAAAGGAAATATCTTCACATAAAAACCAGACAGAAAATTACTGAGAAACTTCTTAATGATGTGTGCATTCATCTCACAGAGTTGAAACTTCTTTTGATTGAGCCGTTTGGAAACTCTCTTTTAGTAGAAACTGCAAGGGGATATTTGGAGCGTTTTGTGGTCTATGGTAGAAAAGGCTATATCTTCACATAAAAATAGAAGCATTCTGAGGAACTTCATGATGTGTGCATTCATCTCAAAGAGTTGAACTTTTCTTTTGATTGAGCAGCTTTGAAAAACTCTTTCTGCAGAATCTGCAAGTTGATATTTGGAGTGCTTTGTGGCCTATAGTAGAAAAGGAAATATCTTTACATAAAACTAGACAGAAGCATTCTGAGAAACTTCTTTGTGATGTGTGCATTCATCTCACAGAGTTGAATCTTTCTTTTGTTTGAGCAGTCTTGAAACTCTCTTTTTGTAGAATCTTCAAGTGGATATTTTCAGCGCTTTGAGGCCTACGGTGGAAAAGAAAATATCTTCACATAAAAACTAGTCAGAAGCATTCTGAGAAACTTCTTTGTGACGTGTGCATTCAACTCATGGAGTTCAACCTTTCTTTTGATTCAGCAGTTTGGAAACAGTCTTTTTACAGTATCTGCAAATGGCTATTTGGAGAGCTTTGAGGCCTATGGTCGAAAAGGAAATCTCTTCCGATAAAAACTAGACAGCAGCATTCTGAGAAACTTATTTGTGATCTGTGCATTCATCTCACAGAGTTGAACCTTTCTTTTGATTCAGCAGTTTTGAAACTGTCGTTTTGTAGAATCTGCAAAGGAATATTTGTGAGACCATTGAGGCTTCTGGGGTGATAGGAAATATCTTCACATAAAAACTAGACAGATACTTTCTGAGAAACTATTTTGTCATGTGTGACTTCTACTCACTGGGTTGAAACTTTCTGTTGATTGAGCAGTTTGGAAACAGTCTTTTTGTAGAATCTGCAAATTGATATTTGGAGTGCTTTTGGCCTACGTTGAAAAACGAAATATCTTCCCATAAAAAGTAGGCAGAAGTTTTGGAGAAATTTATTTTGATGTGTGCATTCATCTCACACAGTTGAAATATTCTTTTGATTGTGCAGTGTGGATACACTCGTTTTGTAGAGTCTGCAAGTGGATATTTGGAGCACTTTGTGGCCTATAGTGAAAAAGGAAATATCTTCACATAAAAACTAGATAGAAGAATTCTGAGAAACTTCCTTTGAATGGGCGCATTCATCTCACACTGTTGAACTTTTTTTTTGATTGAGCACCTTCTAAAGAGTCATTTTGTAGAATCTGCAAAGGAATATTTGTGAGCCCATTGATGCCTCTGGGGAAACAGGAAATATCTTCACATAAAAACGAGACAGAATCTTTCTCAGAAACGTCTTGGTGATGTGTGCATTCATCTCACTGAGTTGAACTTTACTTTGATTGAGCAGTTTGGAAACAGTCTTTTCTAGTATCTGCAAATGGATATTTTAAGCACTCTGAGGCCTACGGTGAAAAAGGAAATATCTTCAATATAAATCAGACAGAAGCATTCATAGAAACTTCTTTGGGATGTGTGCATTCATCTCACCGACTAGAACCTTTCTTTTGATTGAGCAGTTTTGAAACACTCTTTTAGCGGAATCTGCAAGTGTTTCCTTGGAGCGCATGAGGAATATGGTGGAAAAGGAATCTTCTTCACATGAAACCGAGACGGAAGCATTCTGAGAAACTTCTCTGTGATGGATGCATTCATTTCACAGAGTTAAACCTTTCCTGTGATTGAGCGGTTTGGAAACAGTAGTTTTTTACAATCTGCAGAAGGATACTTGTGAGCCGATTGAGGTCTATGGGGTGATAAGAAATATGTTCACATAAAAACTAGATAGAAAGTTTCTGAGAAACTTCTTTGTGATATTTGCTTTTATCTCCTAGAGTTGAAACTTTCTTTTTATTGAGCAGTTTGGGAACAGTCTTTTTGTAGTATCTGCAAATGGATATTACCAGTGCTTTGAGGCCTATGGTGAAAAAGGAAATATCTTCACATAAAAACAAGGCAGAAGCATTCTGAGAAACTTCTTTTTGATGTCTGCATTCATCTCGCAGAGTTGAAACTTTCTTTTGATTGAGCAGTTTTGAAACTCTCTATTTGTAGTATCTGCAAGTGGATATTTGGAACGCTTTGAGGCCTATAGTGGAAAAGGAAATATCTTCACATAAAAAACTAGAAAGAAGAATTCTGAGAAACTTCCTAGGAAGGTGTATTTTCGTCTCACACTGTTAAACCCGTCTTTTGATTGAGCAGCTTCGATACAGTCATTTAGTAGAATATGAAAGGGAATATTTGAGAGCCCATTGAGGCCTCTGGGGAAATAAGAAATATCTTCACTTAAAAACTAGACAAAAGCTTTCTGAGAAACACCCTTGTGATGTGTGCATTCATCATACACAGTTGAACTTTCTTTTGATTGAGCAGTTTGGATACAGTGATTTGTATTATCTGGAAATGGATATTTGGAGTGTACTGAGGCCTATGGTGAAAAAGGAAATATCCTCACATAAAATTCAGATGGAAGCATTCTTAGAAACTCCTATGTGATGTGTGCATTCATCTCACAGACTTCAAACTTTCTATTGATTGAGCAGTTTTGAAACACTCTTTTTGTAGAATCTGCCAGTGGATATTTGGAGCGCTCTGTGGCCCATAGTGGAAAAGGAAATATCTTCATAAAAAAAATAAACAGAAGCACTTTGAGAAACTTCTCTGTGTTGTATGCAGTCATATCTCAGAAATGAAACTTTCTTTGGTACAGCAGTTTTAAAACACTCTTTTTGGAGATTCTGAAAGTAGATATTTGGAGAGACTTGAGGACTACGGTGGAAAAGGAAATATCTTCACAAAAAAACTAGACAGAAACATTCTGAGAAGCTTCTTTGTGATGTGTGCATCCATCTCAAAGAGTTGAACCTTTCTTTTGATTGAGCATTTTTGAAGCACTCTTTTTGTAGAATCTTCAAGTGGATATTTGGAGTGTTTGTGGCCTGTGGTGGAAAAGGAAATATATTCACATAAAAACTAGATAGAAGCATTCTGAGAAACTTCTTTGTGATGTGCTCATTCATCTCACAGAGTTGAGCTTTTCTTTTGATTGAGCAGTTTGGAAACAGTCTTTTTGTAGAATCTGCAGGTGGATATTTGGAGCGCATTACGGCCTATAGTGGAAAAGGAAATATATTAACATAAAAACTAGACAGAAGCATTCTGAGAAACTTCTTTGTGATGTGCTCATTCAACTCACAGAGTTGAACTTTTCTTTTGTTTGAGCAGTTTGCAAACAGTCTTTCTGTAGAATCTGCAAGTGGATATTAGGAGTGCATTACGGCCTATAGTGGAAAATGAAATATCTTCACATAAAAACTAGACAGAAACATTATGAGAAACTGCTTTGTGATGCGTGCATTCATCACCAGAGTTGAGTTTCTCTTTTGATTGAACAGTTTTGAAACACTCTTTCTGTAGAATCTGAAAGGGATATTTGGAGCGCTTTGCAGCCTATGGTGAAAAAGGAAATATCTTCACATAAAAGCTAGACAGAAGCATTCTAAGAAAGTGCTTTGTGACGTGTGCATTCATCTCACAGTGTTGAACCTTTCTTTTGATTGAGCAGTTTTGAAACACTCTTATTGTAGAATCTGCAAGTGGATATTTGGAGAGTTTGAGGCCACTGGTGGAAAAGCAAATATCTTCACATCAAAACTAAACAGAATCATTATAAGTAATCTCTTTGAGATGCGTGCATTCAACTCACAGAGTTGGACATTTCCTTTGATTGAGCAGTTTGGAAACAGTCTTTTTGCAGTATCTGCAAACGGATATTTGGAGCACTTTCAGGCCTATAGTAGGAAAGGAAATATCTTCACATAAAAACTAGACAGAAAATTACTGAGAAACTTCTTAATGATGTGTGCATTCATCTCACAGAGTTGAAACTTTCTTTTGATTGAGCAGTTTGGAAACACTCTTTTAGTAGAAACTGCAAGGGGATATTTGGAGCATTTTGTGGTCTATGGTAGAAAAGGCTATATCTTCACATAAAAATAGAAGCATTCTGAGGAACTTCCTGATGTGTGCATTCATCTCAAAGAGTTGAACTTTTCTTTTGATTGAGCAGCTTTGAAAAACTCTTTCTGCAGAATCTGCAAGTTGATATTTGGAGTGCTTTGTGGCCTATAGTAGAAAAGGAAATATCTTTACATAAAACTAGACAGAAGCATTCTGAGAAACTTCTTTGTGATGTGTGCATTCATCTCACAGAGTTGAATCTTTCTTTTGTTTGAGCAGTTTTGAAACTCTCATTTTGTAGAATCTTCAAGTGGATATTTTCAGCGCTTTGAGGCCTATGGTGGAAAAGAAAATATCTTCACATAAAAACTAGTCAGAAGCATTCTGAGAAACTTCTTTGTGACGTGTGCATTCAACTCATGGAGTTCAACCTTTCTTTTGATTCAGCAGTTTGGAAACAGTCTTTTTACAGTATCTGCAAATGGCTATTTGGAGAGCTTTGAGGCCTATGGTGGAAAAGGAAATATCTTCCCATAAAAACTAGACAGCAGCATTCTGAGAAACTTATTTGTGATCTGTGCATTCATCTCACAGAGTTGAACCTTTCTTTTGATTCAGCAGTTTTGAAACTGTCGTTTTGTAGAATCTGCAAAGGAATATTTGTGAGCCCATTGAGGCTTCTGGGGTGATAGGAAATATCTTCACAGAAAAACTAGACAGATACTTTCTGAGAAACTATTTTGTCATGTGTGACTTCTACTCACCGGGTTGAAACTTTCTGTTGATTGAGCAGTTTGGAAACAGTCTTTTTGTAGAATCTGCAAATTGATATTTGGAGTGCTTTTGGCCTACGTTGAAAAACGAAATATCTTCCCATAAAAAGTAGGCAGAAGTTTTGGAGAAAGTTATTTTGATGTGTGCATTCATCTCACACAGTTGAAATTTTCTTTTGATTGAGCAGTGTGGATACACTCGTTTCGAAGAGTCTGCAAGTGGATATTTGGAGCACTTTGTGGCCTATAGTGAAAAAGGAAATATCTTCACATAAAAACTAGATAGAAGAATTCTGAGAAACTTCCTTTGAATGGGCGCATTCATCTCACACTGTTGAAATTCTTTTTTGATTGAGCACCTTCTAAACAGTCATTTTGTAGAATATACAAAGGAATATTTGTGAGCCCATTGATGCCTCTGGGGAAACAGGAAATATCTTCACATAAAAACGAGACAGAATCTTTCTCAGAAACGTCTTGGTGATGTGTGCATTCATCTCACAGAGTTGAACTTTAATTTGATTGAGCAGTTTGGAAACAGTCTTTTCTAGTATCTGCAAATGGATATTTTAAGCACTCTGAGGCCTACGGTGAAAAAGGAAATATCTTCAATATAAATCAGACAGAAGCATTCATAGAAACTTCTTTGTGATGTGTGCATTCATATCACCGACTAGAACCTTTCTTTTGATTGAGCAGTTTTGAAACACTCTTTTAGCGGAATCTGCAAGTGTTTCTTTGGAGCGCATGAGGAATATGGTGGAAAAGGAATCTTCTTCACATGAAAACGGACGGAAGCATTCTGAGAAACTTCTCTGTGATGGATGCATTCATTTCACAGAGTTAAACCTTTCCTGTGATTGAGCGGTTTGGAAACAGTAGTTTTTTACAATCTGCAGAAGGATACTTGTGAGCCGATTGAGGTCTATGGGGTGATAAGAAATATGTTCACATAAAAACTAGATAGAAAGTTTCTGAGAAACTTCTTTGTGATATTTGCTTTTATCTCCTAGAGTTGAAACTTTCTTTTTATTGAGCAGTTTGGGAACAGTCTTTTTGTAGTATCTGCAAATGGATATTACCAGTGCTTTGAGGCCTATGGTGAAAAAGGAAATATCTTCACATAAAAACAAGGCAGAAGCATTCTGAGAAACTTCTTTTTGATGTCTGCATTCATCTCGCAGAGTTGAACCTTTCTTTTGATTGAGCAGTTTTGAAACGCTCTATTTGTAGTATCTGCAAGTGGATATTTGGAACGCTTTGAGGCCTATAGTGGAAAAGGAAATATCTTCACATAAAAAACTAGAAAGAAGAATTCTGAGAAACTTCCTAGGAAGGTGTATTTTCGTCTCACACTGTTAAACCCCTCTTTTGATTGAGCAGCTTCGATACAGTCATTTAGTAGAATATGAAAGGGAATATTTGAGAGCCCATTGAGGCCTCTGGGGAAATAAGAAATATCTTCACCTAAAACTAGACAAAAACTTTCTGAGAAACACCCTTGTGTTGTGTGCATTCATCATACACAGTTGAACTTTCTTTTGATTGAGCAGTTTGGATACAGTCATTTGTATTATCTGTAAATGGGTATTTGGAGTGTACTGAGGCCTATGGTGAAAAAGGAAATATCCTCACATAAAATTCAGATGGAAGCATTCTTAGAAACTCCTTTGTGATGTGTGCATTCATCTCACAGACTTCAAACTTTCTATTGATTGAGCAGTTTTGAAACACTCTTTTTGTAGAATCTGCCAGTGGATATTTGGAGCGCTCTGTGGCCAATAGTGGAAAAGGAAATATCTTCATAAAAAAAATAAACAGAAGCACTTTGAGAAACTTCTCTGTGTTGTATGCAGTCATATCTCAGACATGAAACTTTCTTTGGTACAGCAGTTTTAAAACACTCTTTTTGGAGATTCTGAAAGTAGATATTTGGAGAGACTTGAGGACTACGGTGGAAAAGGAAATATCTTCACAAAAAAACTAGACAGAAACATTCTGAGAAGCTTCTTTGTGATGTGTGCATCCATCTCAAAGAGTTGAACCTTTCTTTTGATTGAGCATTTTTGAAGCACTCTTTTTGTAGAATCTTCAAGTGGATATTTGGAGTGTTTGTGGCCTGTGGTGGAAAAGGAAATATATTCACATAAAAACTAGATAGAAGCATTCTGAGAAACTTCTTTGTGATGTGCTCATTCATCTCACAGAGTTGAACTTTTCTTTTGATTGAGCAGTTTGGAAACAGTCTTTTTGTAGAATCTGCAGGTGGATATTTGGAGCGCATTACGGCCTATAGTGGAAAAGGAAATATATTCACATAAAAACTAGACAGAAGCATTCTGAGAAACTTCTTTGTGATGTGCTCATTCAACTCACAGAGTTGAACTTTTCTTTTGTTTGAGCAGTTTGCAAACAGTCTTTTTGTAGAATCTGCAAGTGGATATTAGGAGTGCATTACGGCCTATAGTGGAAAATGAAATAACTTCACATAAAAAATAGACAGAAACATTATGAGAAACTGCTCTGTGATGCGTGCATTCATCACCAGAGTTGAATTTCTCTTTTGATTGAACAGTTTTGAAACACTCTCTCTGTAGAATCTGAAAGGGATATTTGGAGCGCTTTGCAGCCTATGGTGAAAAAGGAAATATCTTCAAATAAAAGCTAGACAGAAGCATTCTAAGAAAGTGCTTTGTGAAGTGTGCATTCATCTCACAGAGTTGAATCATTCTTTTGTTTGACCAGTTTTGAAACTCTCTTTCTGTAGAATCTTCAAGTGGATATTTTCAGCGCTTTGAGGCCTATGGTGGAAAAGAAAATATCTTCACATAAAAACTAGTCAGAAGCATTCTGAGAAACTTCTTTGTGACGTGTGCATTCAACTCATGGAGTTCAACCTTTCTTTTGATTCAGCAGTTTGGAAACAGTCTTTTTACAGTATCTGCAGATGGATATTTGGAGAGCTTTGAGGCCTATGGTGGAAAAGGAAATATCTTCCCATAAAAACTAGACAGCAGCATTCTGAGAAACTTATTTGTGATCTGCGCATTCATCTCACAGAGTTGAACCTTTCTCTTGATTCAGCAGTTTTGAAACTGTCGTTTTGTAGAATCTGCAAAGGAATATTTGTGAGCCCATTGAGGCTTCTGGGGTGATAGGAAATATCTTCACATAAAAACTAGACAGATACTTTCTGAGAAACTATTTTGTCATGTGTGACTTCTACTCACCGGGTTGAAACTTTCTGTTGATTGAGCAGTTTGGAAAAAGTCTTTTTGTAGAATCTGCAAATTGATATTTGGAGTGCTTTTGGCCTACGTTGAAAAACGAAATATCCTCCCATAAAAAGTAGGCAGAAGTTTTGGACAAATTTATTTTGATGTGTGTACTCATCTCACACAGTTGAAATTTTCTTTTGATTGAGCAGTGTGGATACACTCGTTTTGTAGAGTCTGCAAGTGGATATTTGGAGCACTTTGTGGCCTATAGTGAAAAAGGAAATATCTTCACATAAAAACTAGATAGAAGAATTCTGAGAAACTTCCTTTGAATGGGCGCATTCATCTCACACTGTTGAACTTTTTTTTTGATTGAGCACCTTCTAAACAGTCATTTTGTAGAATATGCAAAGGAATATTTGTGAGCCCATTGATGCCTCTGGGGAAACAGGAAATATCTTCACATAAAAACGAGACAGAATCTTTATCAGAAACGTCTTGGTGATGTGTGCATTCATCTCACTGAGTTGAACTTTAATTTGATTGAGCAGTTTGGAAACAGTCTTTTCTAGTATCTGCAAATGGATATTTTAAGCACTCTGAGGCCTACGGTGAAAAAGGAAATATCTTCAATATAAATCAGACAGAAGCATTCATAGAAACTTCTTTGTGATGTGTGCATTCATCTCACCGACTAGAACCTTTCTTTTGATTGAGCAGTTTTGAAACACTCTTTTAGCGGAATCTGCAAGTGTTTCTTTGGAGCGCATGAGGAATATGGTGGAAAAGGAATCTTCTTCACATGAAAACGGACGGAAGCATTCTGAGAAACTTCTCTGTGATGGATGCATTCATTTCACAGAGTTAAACCTTTCCTGTGATTGAGCGGTTTGGAAACAGTAGTTTTTTACAATCTGCAGAAGGATACTTGTGAGCCGATTGAGGTCTATGGGGTGATAAGAAATATGTTCACATAAAAACTAGATAGAAAGTTTCTGAGAAACTTCTTTGTGATATTTGCTTTTATCTCCTAGAGTTGAAACTTTCTTTTTATTGAGCAGTTTGGGAACAGTCTTTTTGTAGTATCTGCAAATGGATATTACCAGTGCTTTGAGGCCTATGGTGAAAAAGGAAATATCTTCACATAAAAACAAGGCAGAAGCATTCTGAGAAACTTCTTTTTGATGTCTGCATTCATCTCGCAGAGTTGAACCTTTCTTTTGATTGAGCAGTTTTGAAACGCTCTATTTGTAGTATCTGCAAGTGGATATTTGGAACGCTTTGAGGCCTATAGTGGAAAAGGAAATATCTTCAAATAAAAAACTAGAAAGAAGAATTCTGAGAAACTTCCTAGGAAGGTGTATTTTCGTCTCACACTGTTAAACCCCTCTTTTGATTGAGCAGCTTCGATACAGTCATTTAGTAGAATATGAAAGGGAATATTTGAGAGCCCATTGAGGCCTCTGGGGAAATAAGAAATATCTTCACCTAAAACTAGACAAAAACTTTCTGAGAAATACCCTTGTGTTGTGTGCATTCATCATACACAGTTGAACTTTCTTTTGATTGAGCAGTTTGGATACAGTCATTTGTATTATCTGTAAATGGGTATTTGGAGTGTACTGAGGCCTATGGTGAAAAAGGAAATATCCTCACATAAAATTCAGATGGAAGCATTCTTAGAAACTCCTTTGTGATGTGTGCATTCATCTCACAGACTTCAAACTTTCTATTGATTGAGCAGTTTTGAAACACTCTTTTTGTAGAATCTGCCAGTGGATATTTGGAGCGCTCTGTGGCCAATAGTGGAAAAGGAAATATCTTCATAAAAAAAATAAACAGAAGCACTTTGAGAAACTTCTCTGTGTTGTATGCAGTCATATCTCAGACATGAAACTTTCTTTGGTACAGCAGTTTTAAAACACTCTTTTTGGAGATTCTGAAAGTAGATATTTGGAGAGACTTGAGGACTACGGTGGAAAAGGAAATATCTTCACAAAAAAACTAGACAGAAACATTCTGAGAAGCTTCTTTGTGATGTGTGCATCCATCTCGAAGAGTTGAACCTTTCTTTTGATTGAGCATTTTTGAAGCACTCTTTTTGTAGAATCTTCAAGTGGATATTTGGAGTGTTTGTGTCCTGTGGTGGAAAAGGAAATATATTCACATAAAAACTAGATAGAAGCATTCTGAGAAACTTCTTTGTGATGTGCTCATTCATCTCACAGAGTTGAACTTTTCTTTTGATTGAGCAGTTTGGAAACAGTCTTTTTGTAGAATCTGCAGGTGGATATTTGGAGCGCATTATGGCCTATAGTGGAAAAGGAAATATACTCACATAAAAACTAGACAGAAGCATTCTGAGAAACTTCTTTGTGATGTGCTCATTCAACTCACAGAGTTGAACTTTTCTTTTGTTTGAGCAGTTTGCAAACAGTCTTTTTGTAGAATCTGCAAGTGGATATTAGGAGTGCATTACGGCCTATAGTGGAAAATGAAATAACTTCACATAAAAAATAGACAGAAACATTATGAGAAACTGCTCTGTGATGCGTGCATTCATCACCAGAGTTGAATTTCTCTTTTGATTGAACAGTTTTGAAACACTCTCTCTGTAGAATCTGAAAGGGATATTTGGAGCGCTTTGCAGCCTATGGTGAAAAAGGAAATATCTTCAAATAAAAGCTAGACAGAAGCATTCTAAGAAAGTGCTTTGTGAAGTGTGCATTCATCTCACAGAGTTGAATCATTCTTTTGTTTGACCAGTTTTGAAACTCTCTTTCTGTAGAATCTTCAAGTGGATATTTTCAGCGCTTTGAGGCCTATGGTGGAAAAGAAAATATCTTCACATAAAAACTAGTCAGAAGCATTCTGAGAAACTTCTTTGTGACGTGTGCATTCAACTCATGGAGTTCAACCTTTCTTTTGATTCAGCAGTTTGGAAACAGTCTTTTTACAGTATCTGCAGATGGATATTTGGAGAGCTTTGAGGCCTATGGTGGAAAAGGAAATATCTTCCCATAAAAACTAGACAGCAGCATTCTGAGAAACTTATTTGTGATCTGCGCATTCATCTCACAGAGTTGAACCTTTCTCTTGATTCAGCAGTTTTGAAACTGTCGTTTTGTAGAATCTGCAAAGGAATATTTGTGAGCCCATTGAGGCTTCTGGGGTGATAGGAAATATCTTCACATAAAAACTAGACAGATACTTTCTGAGAAACTATTTTGTCATGTGTGACTTCTACTCACCGGGTTGAAACTTTCTGTTGATTGAGCAGTTTGGAAAAAGTCTTTTTGTAGAATCTGCAAATTGATATTTGGAGTGCTTTTGGCCTACGTTGAAAAACGAAATATCTTCCCATAAAAAGTAGGCAGAAGTTTTGGAGAAATTTATTTTGATGTGTGCATTCAACTCACACAGTTGAAATTTTCTTTTGATTGAGCAGTGTGGATACACTCGTTTTGTAGAGTCTGCAAGTGGATATTTGGAGCACTTTGTGGCCTATAGTGAAAAAGGAAATATCTTCACATAAAAACTAGATAGAAGAATTCTGAGAAACTTCCTTTGAATGGGCGCATTCATCTCACACTGTTGAACTTTTTTTTTGATTGAGCACCTTCTAAACAGTCATTTTGTAGAATATGCAAAGGAATATTTGTGAGCCCATTGATGCCTCTGGGGAAACAGGAAATATCTTCACATAAAAACGAGACAGAATCTTTGTCAGAAACGTCTTGGTGATGTGTGCATTCATCTCACTGAGTTGAACTTTAATTTGATTGAGCAGTTTGGAAACAGTCTTTTCTAGTATCTGCAAATGGATATTTTAAGCACTCTGAGGCCTACGGTGAAAAAGGAAATATCTTCAATATAAATCAGACAGAAGCATTCATAGAAACTTCTTTGTGATGTGTGCATTCATCTCACCGACTAGAACCTTTCTTTTGATTGAGCAGTTTTGAAACACTCTTTTAGCGGAATCTGCAAGTGTTTCTTTGGAGCGCATGAGGAATATGGTGGAAAAGGAATCTTCTTCACATGAAAACGGACGGAAGCATTCTGAGAAACTTCTCTGTGATGGATGCATTCATTTCACAGAGTTAAACCTTTCCTGTGATTGAGCGGTTTGGAAACAGTAGTTTTTTTACAATCTGCAGAAGGATACTTGTGAGCCGATTGAGGTCTATGGGGTGATAAGAAATATGTTCACATAAAAACTAGATAGAAAGTTTCTGAGAAACTTCTTTGTGATATTTGCTTTTATCTCCTAGAGTTGAAACTTTCTTTTTATTGAGCAGTTTGGGAACAGTCTTTTTGTAGTATCTGCAAATGGATATTACCAGTGCTTTGAGGCCTATGGTGAAAAAGGAAATATCTTCACATAAAAACAAGGCAGAAGCATTCTGAGAAACTTCTTTTTGATGTCTGCATTCATCTCGCAGAGTTGAACCTTTCTTTTGATTGAGCAGTTTTGAAACGCTCTATTTGTAGTGTCTGCAAGTGGATATTTGGAACGCTTTGAGACCTATAGTGGAAAAGGAAATATCTTCACATAAAAACCCTGAAAGAAGAATTCTGAGAAACTTCCTAGGAAGGTGTATTTTCGTCTCACACTGTTAAACCCGTCTTTTGATTGAGCAGCTTCGATACAGTCATTTAGTAGAATATGAAAGGGAATATTTGAGAGCCCATTGAGGCCTCTGGGGAAATAAGAAATATCTTCACCTAAAAACTAGACAAAAATTTTCTGAGAAACACCCTTGTGATGTGTGCATTCATCATACACAGTTGAACTTTCTTTTGATTGAGCAGTTTGGATACAGTCATTTGTACTATCTGTAAATGGATATTTGGAGTGTACTGAGGCCTATGGTGAAAAAGGAAATATCCTCACATAAAATTCAGATGGAAGCATTCTTAGAAACTCCTTTGTGTTGTGTTCATTCATCTCACAGACTTCAAACTTTCTAATGATTGAGCAGTTTTGAAACTCTCTTTTTGTAGAATCTGCCAGTGGATATTTGGAGCGCTCTGTGGCCAATAGTGGATAAGGAAATATCTTCATAAAAAAAATAAACAGAAGCACTTTGAGAAACTTCTCTGTGTTGTATGCAGTCATATCTCAGACATGAAACTTTCTTTGGTACAGCAGTTTTAAAACACTCTTTTTGGAGATTCTGGAAGTAGATATTTGGAGAGACTTGAGGACTACGGTGGAAAAGGAAATATCTTCACAAAAAAACTAGACAGAAACATTCTGAGAAGCTTCTTTGTGATGTGTGCATCCATCTCAAAGAGTTGAACCTTTCTTTTGATTGAGCATTTTTGAAGCACTCTTTTTGTAGAATCTTCAAGTGGATAATTGGAGTGTTTGTGGCCTGTGGTGGAAAAGGAAATATATTCACATAAAAACTAGATAGAAGCATTCTGAGAAACTTCTTTGTGATGTGCTCATTCAACTCACAGAGTTGAGCTTTTCTTTTGATTGAGCAGTTTGGTAACAGTCTTTCTGTAGAATCTGCAGGTGGATATTAGGAGCGCATTACAGCCTCTAGTGGAAAAGGAAATATATTCACATAAAAACTAGACAGAAGCATTCTGAGAAACTTCTTTGTGATGTGCTCATTCAACTCACAGAGTTGAACTTTTCTTTTGTTTGAGCAGTTTGCAAACAGTCTTTCTGTAGAATCTGCAAGTGGATATTAGGAGTGCATTACGGCCTATAGTGGAAAATGAAATATCTTCACATAAAAACCAGACAGAAACATGATGAGAAACTGCTTTGTGATGCGTGCATTCATCACCAGAGTTGAGTTTCTCTTTTGATTGAACAGTTTTGAAACACTCTTTCTGTAGAATCTGAAAGGGATATTTGGAGCGCTTTGCAGCCTATGGTGAAAAAGGAAATATCTTCACATAAAAGCTAGACAGAAGCATTCTAAGAAAGTGCTTTGTGACGTGTGCATTCATCTGACAGTGTTGAACCTTTCTTTTGATTGAGCAGTTTTGAAACACTCTTATTGTAGAATCTGCAAGTGAATATTTGGAGAGTTTGAGGCCACTGGTGGAAAAGCAAATATCTTCACATCAAAACTAGACAGAATCATTATAAGTAATCTCTTTGAGATGCGTGCATTCAACTCACAGAGTTGGACATTTCCTTTGATTGAGCAGTTTGGAAACAGTCTTTTTGCAGTATCTGCAAACGGATATTTGGAGCACTTTCAGGCCTATAGTAGGAAAGGAAATATCTTCACATAAAAACTAGACAGAAAATTACTGAGAAACTTCTTAATGATGTGTGCATTCATCTCACAGAGTTGAAACTTCTTTTGATTGAGCAGTTTGGAAACACTCTTTTAGTAGAAACTGCAAGGGGATATTTGGAGCGTTTTGTGGTCTATGGTAGAAAAGGCTATATCTTCACATAAAAATAGAAGCATTCTGAGGAACTTCCTGATGTGTGCATTCATCTCAAAGAGTTGAACTTTTCTTTTGATTGAGCAGCTTTGAAAAACTCTTTCTGCAGAATCTGCAAGTTGATATTTGGAATGCTTTGTGGCCTATAGTAGAAAAGGAAATATCTTTACATAAAACTAGACAGAAGCATTCTGAGAAACTTCTTTGTGATGTGTGCATTCATCTCACAGAGTTGAATCTTTCTTTTGTTTGAGCAGTTTTGAAACTCTCTTTTTGTAGAATCTTCAAGTGGATATTTTCAATGCTTTGAGGCCTATGGTGGAAAAGAAAATATCTTCACATAAAAACTAGCCAGAAGCATTCTGAGAAACTTCTTTGTGACGTGTGCATTCAACTCACGGAGTTCAACCTTTCTTTTGATTCAGCAGTTTTGAAACGCTCTATTTGTAGTATCTGCAAGTGGATATTTGGAACGCTTTGAGACCTATAGTGGAAAAGGAAATATCTTCACATAAAAACCTAGAAAGAAGAATTCTGAGAAACTTCCTAGGAAGCTGTATTTTCGTCTCACACTGTTAAACCCGTCTTTTGATTGAGCAGCTTCGATACAGTCATTTAGTAGAATATGAAAGGGAATATTTGAGAGCCCATTGAGGCCTCTGGGGAAATAAGAAATATCTTCACCTAAAAACTAGACAAAAACTTTCTGAGAAACACCCTTGTGATGTGTGCATTCATCATACACAGTTGAACTTTCTTTTGATTGAGCAGTTTGGATACAGTCATTTGTATTATCTGTAAATGGATATTTGGAGTGTACTGAGGTCTATGGTGAAAAAGGAAATACCTTCACCTAAAATTCAGATGGAAGCACTCTTAGAAACTCCTATGTGATGTGTGCATTCATCTCACAGACTTCAAACTTTCTATTGATTGAGCAGTTTTGAAACACTCTTTTTGTAGAATCTGCCAGTGGATATTTGGAGCGTTCTGATGCCCATAGTGGAAAAGGAAATATCTTCATAAAAAAAATAAACAGAAGCACTTTGAGAAACTTCTCTGTGTTGTATGCAGTCATATCTCAGACATGAAACTTTCTTTGGTACAGCAGTTTTAAAACAATATTTTTGGAGATTCTGAAAGTAGATATTTGGAGAGACTTGAGGACTATGATGGAAAAGGAAATATCTTCACAAAAAAACTAGACAGAAACATTCTGAGAAGCTTCTTTGTGATGTGTGCATCCATCTCGAAGAGTTGAACCTTTCTTTTGATTGAGCATTTTTGAAGCACTCTTTTTGTAGAATCTTCAAGTGGATATTTGGAGTGTTTGTGGCCTCTGGTGGAAAAGGAAATATATTCACATAAAAACTAGATAGAAGCATTCTGAGAAACTTCTTTGTGATGTGCTCATTCAACTCACAGAGTTGAGCTTTTCTTTTGATTGAGCAGTTTGGAAACAGTCTTTCTGTAGAATCTGCAGGTGGATATTTGGAGCGCATTACGGCCTATAGTGGAAAAGGAAATATATTCACATAAAAACTAGACAGAAGCATTCTGAGAAACTTCTTTGTGATGTGCTCATTCAACTCACAGAGTTGAACTTTTCTTTTGTTTGAGCAGTTTGCAAACAGTCTTTCTGTAGAATCTGCAAGTGGATATTAGGAGTGCATTACGGCCTATAGTGGAAAATGAAATATCTTCACATAAAAACTAGACAGAAACATGATGAGAAACTGCTTTGTGATGCGTGCATTCATCACCAGAGTTGAGTTTCTCTTTTGATTGAACAGTTTTGAAACACTCTTTCTGTAGAATCTGAAAGGGATATTTGGAGCGCTTTGCAGCCTATGGTGAAAAAGGAAATATCTTCACATAAAAGCTAGACAGAAGCATTCTAAGAAAGTGCTTTGTGACGTGTGCATTCATCTGACAGTGTTGAACCTTTCTTTTGATTGAGCAGTTTTGAAACACTCTTATTGTAGAATCTGCAAGTGGATATTTGGAGAGTTTGAGGCCACTGGTGGAAAAGCAAATAGCTTCACATCAAAACTAGACAGAATCATTATAAGTAATCTCTTTGAGATGCGTGCATTGAACTCACAGAGTTGGAAATTTCCTTTGATTGAGCAGTTTGGAAACAGTCTTTTTGCAGTATCTGCAAACGGATATTTGGAGCACTTTCAGGCCTATAGTAGGAAAGGAAATATCTTCACATAAAAACTAGACAGCATATTACTGAGAAACTTCTTTATGATGTGTGCATTCATCTCACAGAGTTGAAACTTTCTTTTGATTGAGCAGTTTGGAAACACTCTTTTAGTAGAAACTGCAAGGGGATATTTGGAGCGTTTTGTGGTCTATGGCAGAAAAGGCTATATCTTCACATAAAAATAGAAGCATTCTGAGGAACTTCCTGATGTGTGCATTCATCTCAAAGAGTTGAACTTTTCTTTTGATTGAGCAGCTTTGAAAAACTCTTTCTGCAGGATCTGCAAGTTGATATTTGGAGTGCTTTGTGGCCTATAGTAGAAAAGGAAATATCTTTACATAAAACTAGACAGAAGCATTCTGAGAAACTTCTTTGTGATGTGTGCATTCATCTCACAGAGTTGAATCTTTCTTTTGTTTGAGCAGTTTTGAAACTCTCTTTTTGTAGAATCTTCAAGTGGATATTTTCAGCGCTTTGAGGCCTATGGTGGAAAAGAAAATATCTTCACATAAAAACTAGTCAGAAGCATTCTGAGAAACTTCTTTGTGACGTGTGCATTCAACTCATGGAGTTCAACCTTTCTTTTGATTCAGCAGTTTGGAAACAGTCTTTTTACAGTATCTGCAAATGGCTATTTGGAGAGTTTTGAGGCCTATGGTGGAAAAGGAAATCTCTTCCCATAAAAACTAGACAGCAGCATTCTGAGAAACTTATTTGTGATCTGTGCATTCATCTCACAGAGTTGAACCTTTCTTTTGATTCAGCAGTTTTGAAACTGTCGTTTTGTAGAATCTGCAAAGGAATATTTGTGAGCCCATTGAGGCTTCTGGGGTGATAGGAAATATCTTCACAGAAAAACTAGACAGATACTTTCTGAGAAACTATTTTGTCATGTGTGACTTCTACTCACCGGGTTGAAACTTTCTGTTGATTGAGCAGTTTGGAAACAGTCTTTTTGTAGAATCTGCAAATTGATATTTGGAGTGCTTTTGGCCTACGTTGAAAAACGAAATATCTTCCCATAAAAAGTAGGCAGAAGTTTTGGAGAAAGTTATTTTGATGTGTGCATTCATCTCACACAGTTGAAATTTTCTTTTGATTGAGCAGTGTGGATACACTCGTTTTGTAGAGTCTGCAAGTGGATATTTGGAGCACTTTGTGGCCTATAGTGAAAAAGGAAATATCTTCACATAAAAACTAGATAGAAGAATTCTGAGAAACTTCCTTTGAATGGGCGCATTCATCTCACACTGTTGAACTTTTTTTTTTGATTGAGCACCTTCTGAACAGTCATTTTGTAGAATATGCAAAGGAATATTTGTGAGCCCATTGATGCCTCTGGGGAAACAGGAAATATCTTCACATAAAAACGAGACAGAATCTTTCTCAGAAACGTCTTGGTGATGTGTGCATTCATCTCACTGAGTTGAACTTTACTTTGATTGAGCAGTTTGGAAACAGTCTTTACTAGTATCTGCAAATGGATATTTTAAGCACTCTGAGGCCTACGGTGAAAAAGGAAATATCTTCAATATAAATCAGACAGAAGCATTCATAGAAACTTCTTTGTGATGTGTGCATTCATCTCACCGACTAGAACCTTTCTTTTGATTGAGCAGTTTTGAAACACTCTTTTAGCGGAATCTGCAAGTGTTTCTTTGGAGCGCATGAGGAATATGGTGGAAAAGGAATCTTCTTCACATGAAAACGAGACAGAAGCATTCTGAGAAACTTCTCTGGGATGGATGCATTCATTTCACAGAGTTAAACCTTTCCTGTGATTGAGCGGTTTGGAAACAGTAGTTTTTTACAATCTGCAGAAGGATACTTGTGAGCCGATTGAGGTCTATGGGGTGATAAGAAATATGTTCACATAAAAACTAGATAGAAAGTTTCTGAGAAACTTCTTTGTGATATTTGCTTTTATCTCATAGAGTTGAAACTTTCTTTTTATTGAGCAGTTTGGGAACAGTCTTTTTGTAGTATCTGCAAATGGATATTACCAGTGCTTTGAGGCCTATGGTGAAAAAGGAAATATCTTCACATAAAAACAAGGCAGAAGCATTCTGAGAAACTACTTTTTGATGTCTGCATTCATCTCACAGAGTTGAACCTTTCTTTTGATTGAGCAGTTTTGAAACTCTCTATTTGTAGTATCTGCAAGTGGATATTTGGAACGCTTTGAGGCCTATAGTGGAAAAGGAAATATCTTCACATAAAAAACTACAAAGAAGTATTCTGAGAAACTTCCTAGGAAGGTGTATTTTCGTCTCACACTGTTAAACCCGTCTTTTGATTGGGCAGCTTCGATACAGTCAATTAGTAGAATATGAAAGGGAATATTTGAGAGCCCATTGAGGCCTCTGGGGAAATAAGAAATATCTTCACCTAAAAACTACACAAAAACTTTCTGAGAAACACCCTTGTGATGTGTGCATTCATCATACACAGTTGAACTTTCTTTTGATTGAGCAATTTGGATACAGTCATTTGTATTATCTGTAAATGGATATTTGGAGTGTACTGAGGCCTATGGTGAAAAAGGAAATATCCTCACATAAAATTCAGATGGAAGCATTCTTAGAAACTCCTTTGTGATGTGTGCATTCATCTCACAGACTTCAAACTTTCTATTGATTGAGCAGTTTTGAAACACTCTTTTTGTAGAATCTGCCAGTGGATATTTGGAGCGCTCTGTGGCCAATAGTGGAAAAGGAAATATCTTCATAAAAAAAATAAACAGAAGCACTTTGAGAAACTTCTCTGTGTTGTATGCAGTCATATCTCAGACATGAAACTTTCTTTGGTACAGCAGTTTTAAAACACTCTTTTTGGAGATTCTGAAAGTAGATATTTGGAGAGACTTGAGGACTACGGTGGAAAAGGAAATATCTTCACAAAAAAACTAGACAGAAACATTCTGAGAAGCTTCTTTGTGATGTGTGCATCCATCTCAAAGAGTTGAACCTTTCTTTTGATTGAGCATTTTTGAAGCACTCTTTTTGTAGAATCTTCAAGTGGATATTTGGAGTGTTTGTGGCCTGTGGTGGAAAAGGAAATATATTCACATAAAAACTAGATAGAAGCATTCTGAGAAACTTCTTTGTGATGTGCTCATTCAACTCACAGAGTTGAGCTTTTCTTTTGATTGAGCAGTTTGGAAACAGTCTTTTTGTAGAATCTGCAGGTGGATACTAGGAGCGCATTACGGACTATAGTGGAAAAGGAAATATATTCACATAAAAACTAGACAGAAGCATTCTGAGAAACTTCTTTGTGATGTGCTCATTCAACTCACAGAGTTGAACTTTTCTTTTGTTTGAGCAGTTTGCAAACAGTCTTTCTGTAGAATCTGCAAGTGGATGTTAGGAGTGCATTACGGCCTATAGTGGAAAATGAAATATCTTCACATAAAAACCAGACAGAAACAAGATGAGAAACTGCTTTGTGATGCGTGCATTCATCACCAGAGTTGAGTTTCTCTTTTGATTGAACAGTTTTGAAACACTCTTTCTGTAGAATCTGAAAGGGATATTTGGAGCGCTTTGCAGCCTATGGTGAAAAAGGAAATATCTTCACATAAAAGCTAGACAGAAGCATTCTAAGAAAGTGCTTTGTGACGTGTGCATTCATCTCACAGTGTTGAACCTTTCTTTTGATTGAGCAGTTTTGAAACACTCTTATTGTAGAATCTGCAAGTGTATATTTGGAGAGTTTGAGGACACTGCTGGAAAAGCATATATCTTCACATCAAAACTAGACAGAATCATTATAAGTAATCTCTTTGAGATGCGTGCATTCAACTCACAGAGTTGGACATTTCCTTTGATTGAGCAGTTTGGAAACAGTCTTTTTGCAGTATCTGCAAACGGATATTTGGAGCACTTTCAGGCCTATAGTAGGAAATTAAATATCTTCACATAAAAACTAGACAGAAAATTACTGAGAAACTTCTTAATGATGTGTGCATTCATCTCACAGAGTTGAAACTTTCTTTTGATTGAGCAGTTTGGAAACACTCTTTTAGTAGAAACTGCAAGGGGATATTTGGAGCGTTTTGTGGTCTATGGTAGAAAAGGATATATGTTCACATAAAAATAGAAGCATTCTGAGGAACTTCCTGATGTGTGCATTCATCTCAAAGAGTTGAACTTTTCTTTTGATTGAGCAGCTTTGAAAAACTCTTTCTGCAGAATCTGCAAGTTGATATTTGGAGTGCTTTGTGGCCTATAGTAGACAAGGAAATATCTTTACATAAAACTAGACAGAAGCATTCTGAGAAACTTCTTTGTGATGTGTGCATTCATCTCACAGAGTTGAATCTTTCTTTTGTTTGAGCAGTTTTGAAACTCTCTTTTTGTAGAATCTTCAAGTGGATATTTTCAATGCTTTGAGGCCTATGGTGGAAAAGAAAATATCTTCACATAAAAACTAGTCAGAAGCATTCTGAGAAACTTCTTTGTGACGTGTGCATTCAACTCATGGAGTTCAACCTTTCTTTTGATTCAGCAGTTTGGAAACAGTCTTTTTACAGTATCTGCAAATGGCTATTTGGAGAACTTTGAGGCCTATGGTGGAAAAGGAAATATCTTCCCATAAATACCAGACAGCAGCATTCTGAGAAACTTATTTGTGATCTGTGCATTCATCTCACAGAGTTGAACCTTTCTTTTGATTCAGCAGTTTTGAAACTGTCGTTTTGTAGAATCTGCAAAGGAATATTTGTGAGCCCATTGAGGCTTCTGGGGTGATAGGAAATATCTTCACATAAAAAATTAATAGATACTTTCTGGGAAACTATTTTGTCATGTGTGACTTCTACTCACCGGGTTGAAACTTTCTCTTGATTGAGCAGTTTGGAAACAGTCTTTTTGTAGAATCTGCAAATTGATATTTGGAGTGCTTTTGGCCTACGTTGAAAAACGAAATATCTTCCCATAAAGAGTAGGCAGAAGTTTTGGAGAAATTTATTTTGATGTGTGCATTCATCTCACACAGTTGAAATTTTCTTTTGATTGAGCAGTGTGGATACACTCGTTTTGTAGAGTCTGCAAGTGGATATTTGGAGCACTTTGTGGCCTATAGTGAAAAAGGAAATATCTTCACATAAAAACTAGATAGAAGAATTCTGAGAAACTTCCTTTGAATGGGCACATTCATCTCACACTGTTGAACTTTTTTTTTGATTGAGCACCTTCTAAACAGTCATTTTGTAGAATCTGCAAAGGAATATTTGTGAGCCCATTGATGCCTCTGGGGAAACAGGAAATATCTTCACATAAAAACGAGACAGAATCTTTCTCAGAAACGTCTTGGTGATGTGTGCATTCATCTCACTGAGTTGAACTTTAATTTGATTGAGCAGTTTGGAAACAGTCTTTTCTAGTATCTGCAAATGGATATTTTAAGCACTCTGAGGCCTACGGTGAAAAAGGAAATATCTTCAATATAAATCAGACAGAAGCATTCATAGAAACTTCTTTGTGATGTGTGCATTCATCTCACCGACTAGAACCTTTCTTTTGATTGAGCAGTTTTGAAACACTCTTTTAGCGGAATCTGCAAGTGTTTCTTTGGAGCGCATGAGGAATATGGTGGAAAAGGAATCTTCTTCACATGAAAACGGACGGAAGCATTCTGAGAAACTTCTCTGTGATGGATGCATTCATTTCACAGAGTTAAACCTTTCCTGTGATTGAGCGGTTTGGAAACAGTAGTTTTTTACAATCTGCAGAAGGATACTTGTGAGCCGATTGAGGTCTATGGGGTGATAAGAAATATGTTCACATAAAAACTAGATAGAAAGTTTCTGAGAAACTTCTTTGTGATATTTGCTTTTATCTCCTAGAGTTGAAACTTTCTTTTTATTGAGCAGTTTGGGAACAGTCTTTTTGTAGTATCTGCAAATGGATATTACCAGTGCTTTGAGGCCTATGGTGAAAAAGGAAATATCTTCACATAAAAACAAGGCAGAAGCATTCTGAGAAACTTCTTTTGGATGTCTGCATTCATCTCACAGAGTTGAACCTTTCTTTTGATTGAGCAGTTTTGAAACGCTCTATTTGTAGTATCTGCAAGTGGATATTTGGAACGCTTTCAGGCCTATAATGGAAAAGGAAATATCTTCACATAAAAAACTGGAAAGAAGAATTCTGAGAAACTTCCTAGGAAGGTGTATTTTCGTCTCACACTGTTAAACCCGTCTTTTGATTGAGCAGCTTCGATACAGTCATTTAGTAGAATATGAAAGGGAATATTTGAGAGCCCATTGAGGCCTCTGGGGAAATAAGAAATATCTTCACCTAAAAGCTAGACAAAAACTTTCTGAGAAACACCCTTGTGATGTGTGCATTCATCATACACAGTTGAACTTTCTTTTGATTGAGCAGTTTGGATACAGTCATTTGTATTATCTGTAAATGGATATTTGGAATGTACTGACGCCTATGGTGAAAAAGGAAATATCCTCACATAAAATTCAGATGGAAGCATTCTTAGAAACTCCTTTGTGATGTGTGCATTCATCTCACAGACTTCAAACTTTCTATAGATTGAGCAGTGTTGAAACACTCTTTTTGTAGAATCTGCCAGTGGATATTTGGAGCGCTCTGTGGCCAATAGTGGAAAAGGAAATATCTTCATAAAAAAAATAAACAGAAGCACTTTGAGAAACTTCTCTGTGCTGTATGCAGTCATATCTCAGACATGAAACTTTCTTTGATACAGCAGTTTTAAAACACTCTTTTTGGAGATTCTGAAAGTAGATATTTGGAGAGACTTGAGGACTATGGTGGAAAAGGAAATATCTTCACACAAAAACTAGACAGAAACATTCTGAGAAGCTTCTTTGTGATGTGTGCATCCATCTCAAAGAGTTGAACCTTTCTTTTGATAGAGCATTTTTGAAGCACTCTTTTTGTAGAATCTTCAAGTGGATATTTGGAGTGTTTGTGGCCTGTGGTGGAAAAGGAAATATATTCCCATAAAAACTAGATAGAAGCATTCTGAGAAACTTTTTTTGATGTGCTCATTCAACTCACAGAGTTGAGCTTTTCTTTTGATTGAGTAGTTTAGAAACAGTCTTTCTGTAGAATCTGCAGGTGGATATTTGGAGCGCATTACGGCCTATAGTGGAAAAGGAAATATATTCACATAAAAACTAGACAGAAGCATTCTGAGAAACTTCTTTGTGATGTGCTCATTCAACTCACAGAGTTGAACTTTTCTTTTGTTTGAGCAGTTTGCAAACAGTCTTTCTGTAGAATCTGCAAGTGGATATTAGGAGTGCATTACGGCCTATAGTGGAAAATGAAATATCTTCACATAAAAACCAGACAAAAACATGATGAGAAACTACTATGTGATGCGTGCATTCATCACCAGAGTTGAGTTTCTCTTTTGATTGAACAGTTTTGAAACTCTCTTTCTGTAGAATCTGAAAGGGATATTTGGAGCGCTTTGCAGCCTATGGTGAAAAAGGAAATATCTTCACATAAAAGCTAGACAGAAGCATTCTAAGAAAGTGCTTTGTGACGTGTGCATTCATCTCACAGTGTTGAACCTTTCTTTTGATTGAGCAGTTTTGAAACACTCTTATTGTAGAATCTGCAAGTGGATATTTGGAGAGTTTGAGGCCACTGGTGGAAAAGCAAATATCTTCACATCAAAACTAGACAGAATCATTATAAGTAATCTCTTTGAGATGCGTGCATTCAACTCACAGAGTTGGACATTTCCTTTGATTGAGCAGTTTGGAAACAGTCTTTTTGCAGTATCTGCAAACGGATATTTGGAGCACTTTCAGGCCTATAGTAGGAAAGGAAATATCTTCACATAAAAACTAGACACAAAATTACTGAGAAACTTCTTAATGATGTGTGCATTCATCTCACAGAGTTGAAACTTCTTTTGATTGAGCAGTTGGGAAACACTCTTTTAGTAGAAACTGCAAGGGGATATTTGGAGCGTTTTGTGGTCTATGGTAGAAAAGGATATGTCTTCACATAAAAATAGAAGCATTCTGAGGAACTTCCTGATGTGTGCATTCGTCTCAAAGAGTTGAACTTTTCTTTTGATTGAGCAGCTTTGAAAAACTCTTTCTGCAGTATCTGCAAGTTGATATTTGGAGTGCTTTGTGGCCTATAGTAGAAAAGGAAATATCTTTACATAAAACTAGACAGAAGCATTCTGAGAAACTTCTTTGTGATGTGTGCATTCATCTCACAGAGTTGAATCTTTCTTTTGTTTGAGCAGTTTTGAAACTCTCATTTTGTAGAATCTTCAAGTGGATATTTTCAGCGCTTTGAGGCCTATGGTGGAAAAGAAAATATCTTCACATAAAAACTAGTCAGAAGCATTCTGGGAAATTTTTGTGACGTGTGCATTCAACTCATGGAGTTCAACCTTTCTTTTGATTCAGCAGTTTGGAAACAGTCTTTTTACAGTATCTGCAAATGGCTATTTGGAGAGCTTTGAGGCCTATGGTGGAAAAGGAAATATCTTCCCATAAAAACTAGACAGCAGCATTCTGAGAAACTTATTTGTGATCTGTGCATTCATCTCACAGAGTTGAACCTTTCTTTTGATTCAGCAGTTTTGAAACTGTCGTTTTGTAGAATCTGCAAAGGAATATTTGTGAGCCCATTGAGGCTTCTGGGGTGATAGGAAATATCTTCACATTAAAACTAGACAGATACTTTCTGAGAAACTATTTTGTCATGTGTGACTTCTACTCACCGGGTTGAAACATTCTGTTGATTGAGCAGTTTGGAAACAGTCTTTTTGTAGAATCTGCAAATTGATATTTGGAGTGCTTTTGGCCTACGTTGAAAAACGAAATATCTTCCCATAAAAAGTAGGCAGAAGTTTTGGAGAAATTTATTTTGATGTGTGCACTCATCTCACACAGTTGAAATTTTCTTTTGATTGAGCAGTGTGGATACACTCGTTTTGTAGAGTCTGCAAGTGGATATTTGGAGCACTTTGTGGCCTATAGTGAAAAAGGAAATATCTTCACATAAAAACTAGATAGAAGAATTCTGAGAAACTTCCTTTGAATGGGCGCATTCATCTCAAACTGTTGAACTTTTTTTTTGATTGAGCACCTTCTAAACAGTCATTTTGTAGAATATGCAAAGGAATATTTGTGAGCCCATTGATGCCTCTGGGGAAACAGGAAATATCTTCACATAAAAACGAGACAGAATCTTTGTCAGAAACGTCTTGGTGATGTGTGCATTTATCTCACTGAGTTGAACTTTACTTTGATTGAGCAGTTTGGAAACAGTCTTTTCTAGTATCTGCAAATGGATATTTTAAGCACTCTGAGGCCTACGGTGAAAAAGGAAATATCTTCAATATAAATCAGACAGAAGCATTCATAGAAACTTCTTTGTGATGTGTGCATTCATCTCACCGACTAGAACCTTTCTTTTGATTGAGCAGTTTTGAAACACTCTTTTAGCGGAATCTGCAAGTGTTTCTTTGGAGCGCATGAGGAATATGGTGGAAAAGGAATCTTCTTCACATGAAAACGGACGGAAGCATTCTGAGAAACTTCTCTGTGATGGATGCATTCATTTCACAGAGTTAAACCTTTCCTGTGATTGAGCGGTTTGGAAACAGTAGTTTTTTACAATCTGCAGAAGGATACTTGTGAGCCGATTGAGGTCTATGGGGTGATAAGAAATATGTTCACATAAAAACTAGATAGAAAGTTTCTGAGAAACTTCTTTGTGATATTTGCTTTTATCTCCTAGAGTTGAAACTTTCTTTTTATTGAGCAGTTTGGGAACAGTCTTTTTGTAGTATCTGCAAATGGATATTACCAGTGCTTTGAGGCCTATGGTGAAAAAGGAAATATCTTCACATAAAAACAAGGCAGAAGCATTCTGAGAAACTTCTTTTTGATGTCTGCATTCATCTCACAGAGTTGAACCTTTCCTTTGATTGAGCAGTTTTGAAACGCTCTATTTGTAGTATCTGCAAGTGGATATTTGGAACGCTTTGAGGCCTATAGTGGAAAAGGAAATATCTTCACATAAAAAACTAGAAAGAAGAATTCTGAGAAACTTCCTAGGAAGGTGTATTTTCGTCTCACACTGTTAAACCCGTCTTTTGATTGAGCAGCTTCAATACAGTCATTTAGTATAATATGAAAGGGAATATTTGAGAGCCCATTGAGGACTCTGGGGAAATAAGAAATATCTTCACCTAAAAACTAGACAAAATCTTTCTGAGAAACACCCTTGTGATGTGTGCATTCATCATACACAGTTGAACTTTCTTTTGATTGAGCAGTTTGGATACAGTCATTTGTATTATCTGTAAATGGATATTTGGAGTGTACTGAGGCCTATGGTGAAAAAGGAAGTATCCTCACATAAAATTCAGATGGAAGCATTCTTAGAAACTCCTTTGTGATGTGTACATTCATCTCACACACCTCAAACTTTCTACTGATTGAGCAGTTTTGAAACACTCTTTTTGTAGAATCTGCCAGTGGATATTTGGAGCGCTCTGTGGCCCATAGTGGAAAAGGAAATATCTTCATAAGAAAAATAAACAGAAGCACTTTGAGAAAGTTCTCTGTGTTGTATGCAGTCATAACTCAGACATGAAACTTTCTTTGGTACAGCAGTTTTAAAACACTCTTTATGGAGATTCTGAAAGTAGATATTTGGAGAGACTTGAGGACTACGGTGGAAAAGGAAATATCTTCACAAAAAAACTAGACAGAAACATTCTGAGAAGCTTCTTTGTGATGTGTGCGTCCATTTCGAAGAGTTGAACCTTTCTTTTGATTGAGCATTTTTGAAGCACTCTTTTTGTAGAATCTTCAAGTGGATATTTGGAGGGTTTGTGGCCTGTGGTGGAAAAGGAAATATATTCACATAAAAACTAGATAGAAGCATTCTGAGAAACTTCTTTGTGATGTGCTCATTCAACTCACAGAGTTGAGCTTTTCTTTTGATTGAGCAGTTTGGAAACAGTCTTTTTGTAGAATCTGCAAGTGGATATTTGGAGCGCATGACGGCCTATAGTGGAAAAGGAAATATATTCACATAAAAACTAGACAGAAGCATTCTGAGAAACTTCTTTGTGATGTGCTCATTCAACTCACAGAGTTGAACTTTTCTTTTGTTTGAGCAGTTTGCAAACAGTCTTTTTGTAGAATCTGCAAGTGGATATTAGGAGTGCATTATGGCCTATAGTGGAGAATGAAATATCTTCACATAAAAACTAGACAGAAACATTATGAGAAACTGCTTTGTGATGCGTGCATTCATCACCAGAGTTGAGTTTCTCTTTTGATTGAACAGTTTTGAAACACTCTTTCTGTAGAATCTGAAAGGGGTATTTGGAGCGCTTTGCAGCCTATGGTGAAAAAGGAAATATCTTCACATAAAAGCTAGACAGAAGCATTCTAAGAAAGTGCTTTGTGACGTGTGCATTCATCTCACAGTGTTGAACCTTTCTTTTGATTAAGCAGTTTTGAAACACTCTTATTGTAGAATCTGCAAGTGGATATTTGGAGAGTTTGAGGCCACTGGTGGAAAAGCAAATATCTTCACATCAAAACTAGACAGAATCATTATAAGTAATCTCTTTGAGATGCGTGCATTGAACTCACAGAGTTGGACATTTCCTTTGATTGAGCAGTGTGGAAACAGTCTTTTTGCAGTATCTGCAAACGGATATTTGGAGCACTTTCAGGCCTATAGTAGGAAAGGAAATATCTTCACATAAAAACTAGACAGAAAATTACTGAGAAACTTCTTAATGATGTGTGCATTCATCTCACAGAGTTGAAACTTTCTTTTGATTGAGCCGTTTGGAAACACTCTTTTAGTAGAAACTGCAAGGGGATATTTGGAGCGTTTTGTGGTCTATGGTAGAAAACGATATATCTTCACATAAAAATAGAAGCATTCTGAGGAACTTCATGATGTGTGCATTCATCTCAAAGAGTTGAACTTTTCTTTTGATTGAGCAGCTTTGAAAAACTCTTTCTGCAGAATCTGCAAGTTGATATTTGGAGTGCTTTGTGGCCTATAGTAGAAAAGGAAATATCTTTACATAAAACTAGACAGAAGCATTCTGAGAAACTTCTTTGTGATGTGTGCATTCATCTCACAGAGTTGAATCTTTCTTTTGTTTGAGCAGTTTTGAAACTCTCTTTCTGTAGAATCTTCAAGTGGATATTTTCAGCGCTTTGAGGCCTATGGTGGAAAAGAAAATATCTTCACATAAAAACTAGTCAGAACCATTCTGAGAAACTTCTTTATGACGTGTGCATTCAACTCATGGAGTTCAACCTTTCTTTTGATTCAGCAGTTTGGAAACAGTCTTTTTACAGTATCTGCAAATGGCTATTTGGAGAGCTTTGAGGCCTATGGTGGAAAAGGAAATCTCTTCCCATTAAAACTAGGCAGCAGCATTCTGAGAAACTTATTTGTGATCTGTGCATTCATCTCCCAGAGTTGAACCTTTCTTTTGATTCAGCAGTTTTGAAACTGTCGTTTTGTAGAATCTGCAAAGGAATATTTGTGAGCCCATTGAGGCTTCTGGGGTGATAGGAAATATCTTCACGTAAAAACTAGACAGATACTTTCTGAGAAACTATTTTGTCATGTGTGACTTCTACTCACCGGGTTGAAACTTTCTGTTGATTGAGCAGTTTGGAAACAGTCTTTTTGTAGAATCTGCAAATTGATATTTGGAGTGCTTTTGGCCTACGTTGAAAAACGAAATATCTTCCCATAAAAAGTAGGCAGAAGTTTTGGAGAAATTTATTTTGATGTGTGCACTCATCTCACACAGTTGAAATTTTCTTTTGATTGAGCAGTGTGGATACACTCGTTTTGTAGAGTCTGCAAGTGGATATTTGGAGCACTTTGTGGCCTATAGAGAAAAAGGAAATATCTTCACATAAAAACTAGATAGAAGAATTCTGAGAAACTTCCTTTGAATGGGCGCATTCATCTCACACTGTTGAACTTTTTTTTTGATTGAGCACCTTCTAAACAGTCATTTTGTAGAATATGCAAAGGAATATTTGTGAGCCCATTGATGCCTCTGGGGAAACAGGAAATATCTTCACATAAAAACGAGACAGAATCTTTCTCAGAAACGTCTTGGTGATGTGTGCATTCATCTCACTGAGTTGAACTTTATTTTGATTGAGCAGTTTGGAAGCAGTCTTTTCTAGTATCTGCAAATGGATATTTTAAGCACTCTGAGGCCTACGGTGAAAAAGGAAATATCTTCAATATAAATCAGACAGAAGCATTCATAGAAACTTCTTTGTGATGTGTGCATTCATCTCACCGACTAGAACCTTTCTTTTGATTGAGCAGTTTTGAAACACTCTTTTAGCGGAATCTGCAAGTGTTTCTTTGGAGCGCATGAGGAATATGGTGGAAAAGGAATCTTCTTCACATGAAAACGAGACGGAAGCATTCTGAGAAACTTCTCTGTGATGGATGCATTCATTTCACAGAGTTAAACCTTTCCTGTGATTGAGCGGTTTGGAAACAGTAGTTTTTTACAATCTGCAGAAGGATACTTGTGAGCCGATTGAGGTCTATGGGGTGATAAGAAATATGTTCACATAAAAACTAGATAGAAAGTTTCTGAGAAACTGCTTTGTGATATTAGCTTTTATCTCATAGAGTTGAAAATTTCTTTTTATTGAGCAGTTTGGGAACAGTCTTTTTGTAGTATCTGCAAATGGATATTACCAGTGCTTTGAGGCGTATGGTGAAAAAGGAAATATCTTCACATAAAAACAAGGCGGAAGCATTCTGAGAAAGTTTTTTTGATGTCTGCATTCATCTCACAGAGTTGAACCTTTCTTTTGATTGAGCAGTTTTGAAACGCTCTATTTGTAGTATCTGCAAGTGGATATTTGGAACGCTTTGAGGCCTATAGTGGAAAAGGAAATATCTTCACATAAAAAACTAGAAAGAAGAATTCTGAGAAACTTCCTAGGAAGGTGTATTTTCGTCTCACACTGTTAAACCCGTCTTTTGATTGAGCAGCTTCGATACAGTCATTTAGTAGAATATGAAAGGGAATATTTGAGAGCCCATTGAGGCCTCTGGGGAAATAAGAAATATCTTCACCTAAAAACTAGACAAAATCTTTCTGAGAAACACCCTTGTGATGTGTGCATTCATCATACAGAGTTGAAATTTCTTTTGATTGAGCAGTTTGGATACAGTCATTTGTATTATCTGTAAATGGATATTTGGAGTGTACTGAGGCCTATGGTGAAAAAGGAAATATCCTCACATAAAATTCAGATGGAAGCATTCTTAGAAACTCCTTTGTGATGTGTACATTCATCTCACAGACTTCAAACTTTCTATTGATTGAGCAGCTTTTGAAACACCCTTTTTGTAGAATCTGCCAGTGGATATTTGGAGCACTCTGTGGCCCATAGTGGAAAAGGAAATATCTTCATAAGAAAAATAAACAGAAGCACTTTGAGAAACTTCTCTGTGTTGTATGCAGTCATATCTCCGACATGAAACTTTCTTTGGTACAGCAGTTTTAAAACACTCTTTTTGGAGATTCTGAAAGTAGATATTTGGAGAGACTTGAGGACTACGGTGGAAAAGGAAATATCTTTACAAAAAAACTAGACAGAAACATTCTGAGAAGCTTCTTTGTGATGTGTGCGTCCATCTCGAAGAGTTGAACCTTTCTTTTGATTGCGCATTTTTGAGGCACTCTTTTTGTAGAATCTTCAAGTGGATATTTGGAGGGTTTGTGGCCTGTGGTGGAAAAGCAAATATATTCACATAAAAACTAGATAGAAGCATTCTGAGGAACTTCTTTGGGATGTGCTCATTCACCTCACAGAGTTGAGCTTTTCTTTTGATTGAGCAGTTTGGAAACAGTCTTTTTGTAGAATCTGCAAGTGGATATTTGGAGCGCATGACGGCCTATAGTGGAAAAGGAAATATATTCACATAAAAACTAGACAGAAGCATTCTGAGAAACTTCTTTGTGATGTGCTCATTCAACTCACAGAGTTGAACTTTTCTTTTGTTTGAGCAGTTTGCAAACAGTCTTTTTGTAGAATCTGCAAGTGGATATTAGGAGTGCATTACGGCCTATAGTGGAGAATGAAATATCTTCACATAAAAACTAGACAGAAACATTATGAGAAACTGCTTTGTGATGCGTGCATTCATCACCAGAGTTGAGTTTCTCTTTTGATTGAACAGTTTTGAAATACTCTTTCTGTAGAATCTGAAAGGGATATTTGGAGCGCTTTGCAGCCTATGGTGAAAAAGGAAATATCTTCACATAAAAGCTAGACAGAAGCATTCTAAGAAAGTGCTTTGTGACGTGTGCATTCATCTCACAGTGTTGAACCTTTCTTTTGATTGAGCAGTTTTGAAACACTCTTATTGTAGAATCTGCAAGTGGATATTTGGAGAGTTTGAGGCCACTGGTGGAAAAGCAAATATCTTCACATCAAAACCAGACAGAATCATTATAAGTAATCTCTTTGAGATGCGTGCATTCAACTCACAGAGTTGGACATTTCCTTTGATTGAGCAGTGTGGAAACAGTCTTTTTGCAGTATCTGCAAACGGATATTTGCAGCACTTTCAGGCCTATAGTAGGAAAGGAAATATCTTCACATAAAAACTAGACAGAAAATTACTGAGACACTTCTTAATGATGTGTGCATTCATCTCACAGAGTTGAAACTTTCTTTTGATTGAGCCGTTTGGAAACACTCTTTTAGTAGAAACTGCAAGGGGATATTTGGAGCGTTTTGTGGTCTATGGTAGAAAAGGATATATCTTCACATAAAAATAGAAGCATTCTGAGGAACTTCATGATGTGTGCATTCATCTCAAAGATTTGAACTTTTCTTTTGATTGAGCAGCTTTGAAAAACTCTTTCTGCAGAATCTGCAAGTTGATATTTGGAGTGCTTTGTGGCCTATAGTAGAAAAGGAAATATCTTTACATAAAACTAGACAGAAGCATTCTGAGAAACTTCTTTGTGATGTGTGCATTCATCTCACAGAGTTGAATCTTTCTTTTGTTTGAGCAGTTTTGAAACTCTCTTTCTGTAGAATCTTCAAGTGGATATTTTCAGCGCTTTGAGGCCTATGGTGGAAAAGAAAATATCTTCACATAAAAACTAGTCAGAAGCATTCTGAGAAACTTCTTTGTGACATGTGCATTCAACTCATGGAGTTCAACCTTTCTTTTGATTCAGCAGTTTGGAAACAGTCTTTTTATAGTATCTGCAAATGGCTATTTGGAGAGTTTTGAGGCCTATGGTGGAAAAGGAAATCTCTTCCCATAAAAACTAGACAGCAGCATTCTGAGAAACTTATTTGTGATCTGTGCATTCATCTCACAGAGTTGAACCTTTCTTTTGATTCAGCAGTTTTGAAACTGTCGTTTTGTAGAATCTGCAAAGGAATATTTGTGAGCCCATTGAGGCTTCTGGGGTGATAGGAAATATCTTCACATAAAAAGTAGACAGATACTTTCTGAGAAACTATTTTGTCATGTGTGACTTCTACTCACCGGGTTGAAACTTTCTCTTGATTGAGCAGTTTGGAAACAGTCTTTTTGTAGAATCTGCAAATTGATATTTGGAGTGATTTTGGCCTACGTTGAAAAACGAAATATCTTCCCATAAAAAGTAGGCAGAAGTTTTGGAGAAATTTATTTTGATGTGTGCATTCATCTCACACAGTTGAAATTTTCTTTTGATTGAGCAGTGTGGATACACTCGTTTTGTAGAGTCTGCAAGTGGATATTTGGAGCACTTTGTGGCCTATAGTGAAAAAGGAAATATCTTCACATAAAAACTAGATAGAAGAATTCTGAGAAACTTCCTTTGAATGGGCGCATTCATCTCACACTGTTGAACTTTTTTTTTGATTGAGCACCTTCTGAACAGTCATTTTGTAGAATATGCAAAGGAATATTTGTGAGCCCATTGATGCCTCTGGGGAAACAGGAAATATCTTCACATAAAAACGAGACAGAATCTTTCTCAGAAACGTCTTGGTGATGTGTGCATTCATCTCACTGAGTTGAACTTTACTTTGATTGAGCAGTTTGGAAACAGTCTTTTCTAGTATCTGCAAATGGATATTTTAAGCACTCTGAGGCCTACGGTGAAAAAGGAAATATCTTCAATATAAATCAGACAGAAGCATTCATAGAAACTTCTTTGGGATGTGTGCATTCATCTCACCGACTAGAACCTTTCTTTTGATTGAGCAGTTTTGAAACACTCTTTTAGCGGAATCTGCAAGTGTTTATTTGGAACGCATGAGGAATATGGTGGAAAAGGAATCTTCTTCACATGAAAACGAGACGGAAGCATTCTGAGAAACTTCTCTGTGATGGATGCATTCATTTCACAGAGTTAAACCTTTCCTGTGATTGAGCGGTTTGGAAACAGTAGTTTTTTACAATCTGCAGAAGGATACTTGTGAGCCGATTGAGGTCTATGGGGTGATAAGAAATATGTTCACATAAAAACTAGATAGAAAGTTTCTGAGAAACTTCTTTGTGATATTAGCTTTTATCTCATAGAGTTGAAACTTTCTTTTTATTGAGCAGTTTGGGAACAGTCTTTTTGTAGTATCTACAAATGGATATTACCAGTGCTTTGAGGCCTATGGTGAAAAAGGAAATATCTTCACATAAAAACAAGGCGGAAGCATTCTGAGAAACTTCTTTTTGATGTCTGCATTCATCTCACAGAGTTGAACCTTTCTTTTGATTGAGCAGTTTTGAAACGCTCTATTTGTAGTATCTGCAAGTGGATATTTGGAACGCTTTGAGGCCTATAGTGGAAAAGGAAATATCTTCACATAAAAAACTAGAAAGAAGAATTCTGAGAAACTTCCTAGGAAGGTGTATTTTCGTCTCACACTGTTAAACCCGTCTTTTGATTGAGCAGCTTCGATACAGTCATTTAGTAGAATATGAAAGGGAATATTTGAGAGCCCATTGAGGCCTCTGGGGAAATAAGAAATATCTTCACCTAAAAACAAGACAAAATCTTTCTGAGAAACACCCTTGTGATGTGTGCATTCATCATGCACAGTTGAACTTTCTTTTGATTGAGCAGTTTGGATACAGTCATTTGTATTATCTGTAAATGGATATTTGGAGTGTATTGAGGCCTATGGTGAAAAAGGAAATATCCTCACATAAAATTCAGATGGAAGCATTCTTAGAAACTCCTTTGTGATGTGCACATTCATCTCACAGACTTCAAACTTTCTATTGATTGAGCAGTTTTGAAACACTCTTTTTGTAGAATCTGCCAGTGGATATTTGGAGCGCTCTGTGGCCCATAGTGGAAAAGGAAATATCTTCATAAGAAAAATAAACAGAAGCACTTTGAGAAAGTTCTCTGTGTTGTATGCAGTCATATCTCAGACATGAAACTTTCTTTGGTACAGCAGATTTAAAACACTCTTTTTGGAGATTCTGAAAGTAGATAGTTGGAGAGACTTGAGGACTTCAGTGGAAAAGGAAATATCTTCACAAAAAAACTAGACAGAAACATTCTGAGAAGCTTCTTTGTGATGTGTGCGTCCATCTCGAAGAGTTGAACCTTTCTTTTGATTGAGTATTTTTGAAGCACTCTTTTTGTAGAATCTTCAAGTGGATATTTGGAGGGTTTGTGGCCTGTGGTGGAAAAGGAAATATATTCACATAAAAACTAGATAGAAGCATTCTGAGAAACTTCTTTGTGATGTGCTCATTCAACTCACAGAGTTGAGCTTTTCTTTTGATTGAGCAGTTTGGAAACAGTCTTTTTGTAGAATCTGCAAGTGGATATTTGGAGCGCATGACGACCTATAGTGGAAAAGGAAATATATTCACATAAAAACTAGACAGAAGCATTCTGAGAAACTTCTTTGTGATGTGCTCATTCAACTCACAGAGTTGAACTTTTCTTTTGTTTGAGCAGTTTGCAAACAGTCTTTTTGTAGAATCTGCAAGTGGATATTAGGAGTGCATTACAGCCTATAGTGGAGAATGAAATATCTTCACATAAAAACTAGACAGAAACATTATGAGAAACTGCTTTGTGATGCGTGCATTCATCACCAGAGTTGAGTTTCTCTTTTGATTGAACAGTTTTGAAATACTCTTTCTGTAGAATCTGAAAGGGATATTTGGAGCGCTTTGCAGCCTATGGTGAAAAAGGAAATATCTTCACATAAAAGCTAGACAGAAGCATTCTAAGAAAGTGCTTTGTGACGTGTGCATTCATCTCACAGTGTTGAACCTTTCTTTTGATTGAGCAGTTTTGAAACACTCTTATTGTAGAATCTGCAAGTGGATATTTGGAGAGTTTGAGGCCACTGGTGGAAAAGCAAATATCTTCACATCAAAACCAGACAGAATCATTATAAGTAATCTCTTTGAGATGCGTGCATTCAACTCACAGAGTTGGACATTTCCTTTGATTGAGCAGTGTGGAAACAGTCTTTTTGCAGTATCTGCAAACGGATATTTGCAGCACTTTCAGGCCTATAGTAGGAAAGGAAATATCTTCACATAAAAACTAGACAGAAAATTACTGAGACACTTCTTAATGATGTGTGCATTCATCTCACAGAGTTGAAACTTTCTTTTGATTGAGCCGTTTGGAAACACTCTTTTAGTAGAAACTGCAAGGGGATATTTGGAGCGTTTTGTGGTCTATGGTAGAAAAGGATATATCTTCACATAAAAATAGAAGCATTCTGAGGAACTTCCTGATGTGTGCATTCATCTCAAAGATTTGAACTTTTCTTTTGATTGAGCAGCTTTGAAAAACTCTTTCTGCAGAATCTGCAAGTTGATATTTGGAGTGCTTTGTGGCCTATAGTAGAAAAGGAAATATCTTTACATAAAACTAGACAGAAGCATTCTGAGAAACTTCTTTGTGATGTGTGCATTCATCTCACAGAGTTGAATCTTTCTTTTGTTTGAGCAGTTTTGAAACTCTCTTTCTGTAGAATCTTCAAGTGGATATTTTCAGCGCTTTGAGGCCTATGGTGGAAAAGAAAATATCTTCACATAAAAACTAGTCAGAAGCATTCTGAGAAACTTCTTTGTGACATGTGCATTCAACTCATGGAGTTCAACCTTTCTTTTGATTCAGCAGTTTGGAAACAGTCTTTTTATAGTATCTGCAAATGGCTATTTGGAGAGTTTTGAGGCCTATGGTGGAAAAGGAAATCTCTTCCCATAAAAACTAGACAGCAGCATTCTGAGAAACTTATTTGTGATCTGTGCATTCATCTCACAGAGTTGAACCTTTCTTTTGATTCAGCAGTTTTGAAACTGTCGTTTTGTAGAATCTGCAAAGGAATATTTGTGAGCCCATTGAGGCTTCTGGGGTGATAGGAAATATCTTCACATAAAAACTAGACAGATACTTTCTGAGAAACTATTTTGTCATGTGTGACTTCTACTCACCGGGTTGAAACTTTCTCTTGATTGAGCAGTTTGGAAACAGTCTTTTTGTAGAATCTGCAAATTGATATTTGGAGTGCTTTTGGCCTACGTTGAAAAACGAAATATCTTCCCATAAAAAGTAGGCAGAAGTTTTGGAGAAATTTATTTTGATGTGTGCATTCATCTCACACAGTTGAAATTTTCTTTTGATTGAGCAGTGTGGATACACTCGTTTTGTAGAGTCTGCAAGTGGATATTTGGAGCACTTTGTGGCCTATAGTGAAAAAGGAAATATCTTCACATAAAAACTAGATAGAAGAATTCTGAGAAACTTCCTTTGAATGGGCGCATTCATCTCACACTGTTGAACTTTTTTTTTGATTGAGCACCTTCTGAACAGTCATTTTGTAGAATATGCAAAGGAATATTTGTGAGCCCATTGATGCCTCTGGGGAAACAGGAAATATCTTCACATAAAAACGAGACAGAATCTTTCTCAGAAACGTCTTGGTGATGTGTGCATTCATCTCACTGAGTTGAACTTTACTTTGATTGAGCAGTTTGGAAACAGTCTTTTCTAGTATCTGCAAATGGATATTTTAAGCACTCTGAGGCCTACGGTGAAAAAGGAAATATCTTCAATATAAATCAGACAGAAGCATTCATAGAAACTTCTTTGGGATGTGTGCATTCATCTCACCGACTAGAACCTTTCTTTTGATTGAGCAGTTTTGAAACACTCTTTTAGCGGAATCTGCAAGTGTTTATTTGGAACGCATGAGGAATATGGTGGAAAAGGAATCTTCTTCACATGAAAACGAGACGGAAGCATTCTGAGAAACTTCTCTGTGATGGATGCATTCATTTCACAGAGTTAAACCTTTCCTGTGATTGAGCGGTTTGGAAACAGTAGTTTTTTACAATCTGCAGAAGGATACTTGTGAGCCGATTGAGGTCTATGGGGTGATAAGAAATATGTTCACATAAAAACTAGATAGAAAGTTTCTGAGAAACTTCTTTGTGATATTAGCTTTTATCTCATAGAGTTGAAACTTTCTTTTTATTGAGCAGTTTGGGAACAGTCTTTTTGTAGTATCTACAAATGGATATTACCAGTGCTTTGAGGCCTATGGTGAAAAAGGAAATATCTTCACATAAAAACAAGGCGGAAGCATTCTGAGAAACTTCTTTTTGATGTCTGCATTCATCTCACAGAGTTGAACCTTTCTTTTGATTGAGCAGTTTTGAAACGCTCTATTTGTAGTATCTGCAAGTGGATATTTGGAACGCTTTGAGGCCTATAGTGGAAAAGGAAATATCTTCACATAAAAAACTAGAAAGAAGAATTCTGAGAAACTTCCTAGGAAGGTGTATTTTCGTCTCACACTGTTAAACCCGTCTTTTGATTGAGCAGCTTCGATACAGTCATTTAGTAGAATATGAAAGGGAATATTTGAGAGCCCATTGAGGCCTCTGGGGAAATAAGAAATATCTTCACCTAAAAACAAGACAAAATCTTTCTGAGAAACACCCTTGTGATGTGTGCATTCATCATGCACAGTTGAACTTTCTTTTGATTGAGCAGTTTGGATACAGTCATTTGTATTATCTGTAAATGGATATTTGGAGTGTATTGAGGCCTATGGTGAAAAAGGAAATATCCTCACATAAAATTCAGATGGAAGCATTCTTAGAAACTCCTTTGTGATGTGCACATTCATCTCACAGACTTCAAACTTTCTATTGATTGAGCAGTTTTGAAACACTCTTTTTGTAGAATCTGCCAGTGGATATTTGGAGCGCTCTGTGGCCCATAGTGGAAAAGGAAATATCTTCATAAGAAAAATAAACAGAAGCACTTTGAGAAAGTTCTCTGTGTTGTATGCAGTCATATCTCAGACATGAAACTTTCTTTGGTACAGCAGATTTAAAACACTCTTTTTGGAGATTCTGAAAGTAGATAGTTGGAGAGACTTGAGGACTTCAGTGGAAAAGGAAATATCTTCACAAAAAAACTAGACAGAAACATTCTGAGAAGCTTCTTTGTGATGTGTGCGTCCATCTCGAAGAGTTGAACCTTTCTTTTGATTGAGTATTTTTGAAGCACTCTTTTTGTAGAATCTTCAAGTGGATATTTGGAGGGTTTGTGGCCTGTGGTGGAAAAGGAAATATATTCACATAAAAACTAGATAGAAGCATTCTGAGAAACTTCTTTGTGATGTGCTCATTCAACTCACAGAGTTGAGCTTTTCTTTTGATTGAGCAGTTTGGAAACAGTCTTTTTGTAGAATCTGCAAGTGGATATTTGGAGCGCATGACGACCTATAGTGGAAAAGGAAATATATTCACATAAAAACTAGACAGAAGCATTCTGAGAAACTTCTTTGTGATGTGCTCATTCAACTCACAGAGTTGAACTTTTCTTTTGTTTGAGCAGTTTGCAAACAGTCTTTTTGTAGAATCTGCAAGTGGATATTAGGAGTGCATTACGGCCTATAGTGGAGAATGAAATATCTTCACATAAAAACTAGACAGAAACATTATGAGAAACTGCTTTGTGATGTGTGCATTCATCACCAGAGTTGAGTTTCTCTTTTGATTGAACAGTTTTGAAATACTCTTTCTGTAGAATCTGAAAGGGATATTTGGAGCGCTTTGCAGCCTATGGTGAAAAAGGAAATATCTTCACATAAAAGCTAGACAGAAGCATTCTAAGAAAGTGCTTTGTGACGTGTGCATTCATCTCACAGTGTTGAACCTTTCTTTTGATTGAGCAGTTTTGAAACACTCTTATTGTAGAATCTGCAAGTGGATATTTGGAGAGTTTGAGGCCACTGGTGGAAAAGCAAATATCTTCACATCAAAACCAGACAGAATCATTATAAGTAATCTCTTTGAGATGCGTGCATTCAACTCACAGAGTTGGACATTTCCTTTGATTGAGCAGTGTGGAAACAGTCTTTTTGCAGTATCTGCAAACGGATATTTGCAGCACTTTCAGGCCTATAGTAGGAAAGGAAATATCTTCACATAAAAACTAGACAGAAAATTACTGAGACACTTCTTAATGATGTGTGCATTCATCTCACAGAGTTGAAACTTTCTTTTGATTGAGCCGTTTGGAAACACTCTTTTAGTAGAAACTGCAAGGGGATATTTGGAGCGTTTTGTGGTCTATGGTAGAAAAGGATATATCTTCACATAAAAATAGAAGCATTCTGAGGAACTTCATGATGTGTGCATTCATCTCAAAGAGTTGAACTTGTCTTTTGACTGAGCAGCTTTGAAAAACTCTTTCTGCAGAATCTGCAAGTTGATATTTGGAGTGCTTTGTGGCCTATAGTAGAAAAGGAAATATCTTTACATAAAACTAGACAGAAGCATTCTGAGAAACTTCTTTGTGATGTGTGCATTCATCTCACAGATTTGAAACTTTCTTTTGATTGAGCCTTTTGGAAACACTCTTTTAGTAGAATCTGCAAGGGGATATTTGGAGCGTTTTGTGGTCTATGGTAGAAAAGGATATATCTTCACATAAAAATAGAAGCATTCTGAGGAACTTCATGATGTGTGCATTCGTCTCAAGGAGTTGAACTTTTCTTTTGATTGAGCAGCTTTGAATAACTCTTTCTGCAGAATCTGCAAGTTGATATTTGGAGTGCTTTGTGGCCTATAGTAGAAAAGGAAATATCTTTACATAAAACTAGACAGAAGCATTCTGAGAAACTTCTTTGTGATGTGTGCATTCATCTCACAGAGTTGAATCTTTCTTTTGTTTGAGCAGTTTTGAAACTCTCTTTCTGTAGAATCTTCAAGTGGATATTTTCAGCGCTTTGAGGCCTATGGTGGAAAAGAAAATATCTTCACATAAAAACTAGTCAGAACCATTCTGAGAAACTTCTTTATGACGTGTGCATTCAACTCATGGAGTTCAACCTTTCTTTTGATTCAGCAGTTTGGAAACAGTCTTTTTACAGTATCTGCAAATGGCTATTTGGAGAGCTTTGAGGCCTATGGTGGAAAAGGAAATCTCTTCCCATTAAAACTAGGCAGCAGCATTCTGAGAAACTTATTTGTGATCTGTGCATTCATCTCCCAGAGTTGAACCTTTCTTTTGATTCAGCAGTTTTGAAACTGTCGTTTTGTAGAATCTGCAAAGGAATATTTGTGAGCCCATTGAGGCTTCTGGGGTGATAGGAAATATCTTCACGTAAAAACTAGACAGATACTTTCTGAGAAACTATTTTGTCATGTGTGTCTTCTACTCACCGGGTTGAAACTTTCTGTTGATTGAGCAGTTTGGAAACAGTCTTTTTGTAGAATCTGCAAATTGATATTTGGAGTGCTTTTGGCCTACATTGAAAAACGAAATATCTTCCCATAAAAAGTAGGCAGAAGTTTTGGAGAAATTTATTTTGATGTGTGCATTCATCTCACACAGTTGAAATTTTCTTTTGATTGAGCAGTGTGGATACACTCGTTTTGCAGAGTCTGCAAGTGGATATTTGGAGCACTTTGTGGCCTATAGTGAAAAAGGAAATATCTTCACATGAAAACTAGATAGAAGAATTCTGAGAAACTTCCTTTGAATGGGCGCATTCATCTCACACTGTTGAACTTTTTTTTTGATTGAGCACCTTCTAAACAGTCATTTTGTAGAATATGCAAAGGAATATTTGTGAGCCCATTGATGCCTCTGGGGAAACAGGAAATATCTTCACATAAAAACGAGACAGAATCTTTCTCAGAAACGTCTTGGTGATGTGTGCATTCATCTCACTGAGTTGAACTTTATTTTGATTGAGCAGTTTGGAAACAGTCTTTTCTAGTATCTGCAAATGGATATTTTAAGCACTCTGAGGCCTACGGTGAAAAAGGAAATATCTTCAATATAAATCAGACAGAAGCATTCATAGAAACTTCTTTGTGATGTGTGCATTCATCTCACCGACTAGAACCTTTCTTTTGATTGAGCAGTTTTGAAACACTCTTTTAGCGGAATCTGCAAGTGTTTATTTGGAACGCATGAGGAATATGGTGGAAAAGGAATCTTCTTCACATGAAAACGAGACGGAAGCATTCTGAGAAACTTCTCTGTGATGGATGCATTCATTTCACAGAGTTAAAACTTTCCTGTGATTGAGCGGTTTGGAAACAGTAGTTTTTTACAATCTGCAGAAGGATACTTGTGAGCCGATTGAGGTCTATGGGGTGATAAGAAATATGTTCACATAAAAACTAGATAGAAAGTTTCTGAGAAACTTCTTTGTGATATTTGCTTTTATCTCCTAGAGTTGAAACTTTCTTTTTATTGAGCAGTTTGGGAACAGTTTTTTTGTAGTATCTGCAAATGGATATTACCAGTGCTTTGAGGCCTATGGTGAAAAAGGAAATATCTTCACATAAAAACAAGGCGGAAACATTCTGAGAAACTTCTTTTTGATGTCTGCATTCATCTCACAGGGTTGAACCTTTCTTTTGATTGAGCAGTTTTGAAACGCTCTATTTGTAGTATCTGCAAGTGGATATTTGGAACGCTTTGAGGCCTATAGTGGAAAAGGAAATATCTTCACATAAAAAACTAGAAAGAAGAATTCTGAGAAACTTCCTAGGAAGGTGTATTTTCGTCTCACACTGTTAAACCCGTCTTTTGATTGAGCAGCTTCGATACAGTCATTTAGTAGAATATGAAAGGGAATATTTGAGAGCCCATTGAGGCCTCTGGGGAAATAAGAAATATCTTCACCTAAAAACAAGACAAAATCTTTCTGAGAAACACCCTTGTGATGTGTGCATTCATCATGCACAGTTGAACTTTCTTTTGATTGAGCAGTTTGGATACAGTCATTTGTATTATCTGTAAATGGATATTTGGAGTGTACTGAGGCCTATGGTGAAAAAGGAAATATCCTCACATAAAATTCAGATGGAAGCATTCTTAGAAACTCCTTTGTGGTGTGTGCATTCATCTCACAGACTTCAAACTTTCTATTGATTGAGCAGTTTTGAAACACTCTTTTTGTAGAATCTGCAAGTCGATATTTGGAGCGCTCTGTGGCCCATAGTGGAAAAGGAATTATCTTCATAAAAAAAATAAACAGAAGCACTTTGAGAAACTTCTCTGTGTTGTATGCAGTCATATCTCAGACATGAAACTTTCTTTGGTACAGCAGTTTTAAAACACTCTTTTTGGAGATTCTGAAAGTAGATATTTGGAGAGACTTGAGGACTACGGTGGAAAAGGAAATATCTTCACAAAAAAACTAGACAGAAACATTCTGAGAAGCTTCTTTGTGATGTGTGCATCCATCTCGAAGAGTTGAACCTTTCTTTTGATTGAGCATTTTTGAAGCACTCTTTTTGTAGAATCTTCAAGTGGATATTTGGAGGGTTTGTGGCCTGTGGTGGAAAAGGAAATATATTCACATAAAAACTAGATAGAAGCATTCTGAGAAACTTCTTTGTGATGTGCTCATTGAACTCACAGAGTTGAGCTTTTCTTTTGATTGAGCAGTTTGGAAACAGTCTTTTTGTAGAATCTGCAAGTGGATATTTGGAGCGCATGATGGCCTATAGTGGAAAAGGAAATATATTCACATAAAAACTAGACAGAAGCATTCTGAGAAACTTCTTTGTGATGTGCTCATTCAACTCACAGAGTTGAACTTTTCTTTTGTTTGAGCAGTTTGCAAACAGTCTTTTTGTAGAATCTGCAAGTGGATATTAGGAGTGCATTACGGCCTATAGTGGAGAATGAAATATCTTCACATAAAAACTAGACAGAAACATTATGAGAAACTGCTTTGTGATGCGTGCATTCATCACCAGAGTTGAGTTTCTCTTTTGATTGAACAGTTTTGAAATACTCTTTCTGTAGAATCTGAAAGGGATATTTGGAGCGCTTTGCAGCCTATGGTGAAAAAGGAAATATCTTCACATAAAAGCTAGACAGAAGCATTCTAAGAAAGTGCTTTGTGACGTGTGCATTCATCTCACAGTGTTGAACCTTTCTTTGATTGAGCAGTTTTGAAACACTCTTATTGTAGAATCTGCAAGTGGATATTTGGAGAGTTTGAGGCCACTGGTGGAAAAGCAAATATCTTCACATCAAAACTAGACAGAATCATTAGAAGTAATCTCTTTGAGATGCGTGCATTCAACTCACAGAGTTGGACATTTCCTTTGATTGAGCAGTGTGGAAACAGTCTTTTTGCAGTATCTGCAAACGGATATTTGCAGCACTTTCAGGCCTATAGTAGGAAAGGAAATATCTTCACATAAAAACTAGACAGAAAATTACTGAGACACTACTTAATGTTGTGTGCATTCATCTCACAGAGTTGAAACTTTCTTTTGATTGAGCCGTTTGGAAACACTCTTTTAGTAGAAACTGCAAGGGGATATTTGGAGCGTTTTGTGGTCTATGGTAGAAAAGGATATATCTTCACATAAAAATAGAAGCATTCTGAGGAACTTCATGATGTGTGCATTCATCTCAAAGAGTTGAACTTGTCTTTTGACTGAGCAGCTTTGAAAAACTCTTTCTGCAGAATCTGCAAGTTGATATTTGGAGTGCTTTGTGGCCTATAGTAGAAAAGGAAATATCTTTACATAAAACTAGACAGAAGCATTCTGAGAAACTTCTTTGTGATGTGTGCATTCATCTCACAGAGTTGAATCTTTCTTTTGTTTGAGCAGTTTTGAAACTCTCTTTCTGTAGAATCTTCAAGTGGATATTTTCAGCGCTTTGAGGCCTATGGTGGAAAAGAAAATATCTTCACATAAAAACTAGTCAGAACCATTCTGAGAAACTTCTTTATGACGTGTGCATTCAACTCATGGAGTTCAACCTTTCTTTTGATTCAGCAGTTTGGAAACAGTCTTTTTACAGTATCTGCAAATGGCTATTTGGAGAGCTTTGAGGCCTATGGTGGAAAAGGAAATCTCTTCCCATTAAAACTAGGCAGCAGCATTCTGAGAAACTTATTTGTGATCTGTGCATTCATCTCCCAGAGTCGAACCTTTCTTTTGATTCAGCAGTTTTGAAACTGCCTTTTTGTAGAATCTGCAAAGGAATATTTGTGAGCCCATTGAGGCTTCTGGGGTGATAGGAAATATCTTCACGTAAAAACTAGACAGATACTTTCTGAGAAACTATTTTGTCATGTGTGACTTCTACTCACCGGGTTGAAACTTTCTGTTGATTGAGCAGTTTGGAAACAGTCTTTTTGTAGAATCTGCAAATTGATATTTGGAGTGCTTTTGGCCTACGTTGAAAAACGAAATATCTTCCCATAAAAAGTAGGCAGAAGTTTTGGAGAAATTTATTTTGATGTGTGCATTCATCTCAAACAGTTGAAATTTTCTTTTGTTTGAGCAGTGTGGATACACTCGTTTCGTAGAGTCTGCAAGTGGATATTTGGAGCACTTTGTGGCCTATAGTGAAAAAGGAAATATCTTCACATAAAAACTAGATAGAAGAATTCTGAGAAACTTCCTTTGAATGGGCGCATTCATCTCACACTGTTGAACTTTTTTTTTCATTGAGCACCTTCTAAACAGTCATTTTGTAGAATATGCAAAGGAATATTTGTGAGCCCATTGATGCCTCTGGGGAAACAGGAAATATCTTCACATAAAAACGAGACAGAATCTTTCTCAGAAACGTCTTGGTGATGTGTGCATTCATCTCACTGAGTTGAACTTTATTTTGATTGAGCAGTTTGGAAACAGTCTTTTCTAGTATCTGCAAATGGATATTTTAAGCACTCTGAGGCCTACAGTGAAAAAGGAAATATCTTCAATATAAATCAGACAGAAGCATTCATAGAAACTTCTTTGTGATGTGTGCATTCATCTCACCGACTAGAACCTTTCTTTTGATTGAGCAGTTTTGAAACACTCTTTTAGCGGAATCTGCAAGTGTTTATTTGGAGCGCATGAGGAATATGGTGGAAAAGGAATCTTCTTCACATGAAAACGAGACGGAAGCATTCTGAGAAACTTCTCTGTGATGGATGCATTCATTTCACAGAGTTAAACCTTTCCTGTGATTGAGCGGTTTGGAAACAGTAGTTTTTTACAATCTGCAGAAGGATACTTGTGAGCCGATTGAGGTCTATGGGGTGATAAGAAATATGTTCACATAAAAACTAGATAGAAAGTTTCTGAGAAACTTCTTTGTGATATTTGCTTTTATCTCCTAGAGTTGAAACTTTCTTTTTATTGAGAAGTTTGGGAACAGTCTTTTTGTAGTATCTACAAATGGATATTACCAGTGCTTTGAGGCCTATGGTGGAAAAGGAAATATCTTCACATAAAAACAAGGCAGAAGCATTCTGAGAAACTTATATTTGATGTCTGCATTCATCTCTCAGAGTTGAACCTTTCTTTTGATTGAGCAGTTTTGAGAAGCTCTATTTGTAGTATCTGCAAGTGGATATTTGGAACGCTTTGAGGCCTATAGTGGAAAAGGAAATATCTTCACATAAAAAACTAGAAAGAAGAATTCTGAGAAACTTCCTAGGAAGGTGTATTTTCGTCTCACACTGTTAAACCCGTCTTTTGATTGAGCAGCTTCGATACAGCCATTTAGTAGAATATGAAAGGGAATATTTGAGAGCCCATTGAGGCCTCTGGGGAAATAAGAAATATCTTCACCTAAAAACTAGACAAAATCTTTCTGAGAAACACCCTTGTGATGTGTGCATTCATCATACACAGTTGAACTTTCTTTTGATTGAGCAGTTTGGATACAGTCATTTGTATTATCTGTAAATGGATGTTTGGAGTGTACTGAGGCCTATGGTGAGAAAGGAAATATCCTCACATAAAATTCAGATGGAAGCATTCTTAGAAACTCCTTTGTGATGTGTACATTCATCTCACAGACTTCAAACTTTCTATTGATTGAGCAGTTTTGAAACACTCTTTTTGTAGAATCTGCCAGTGGATATTTGGAGCGCTCTGTGGCCCATAGTGGAAAAGGAAATATCTTCATAAGAAAAATAAACAGAAGCACTTTGAGAAAGTTCTCTGTGTTGTATGCAGTCATAAATCAGACATGAAACTTTCTTTGGTACAGCAGTTTTGAAACACTCTTTTTGGAGATTCTGAAAGTAGATATTTGGAGAGACTTGAGGACTACGGTGGAAAAGGAAATATCTTCACAAAAAAACTAGACAGAAACATTCTGAGAAGCTTCTTTGTGATGTGTGCGTCCATATCGAAGAGTTGAACCTTTCTTTTGATTGAGCATTTTTGAAGCACTCTTTTTGTAGAATCTTCAAGTGGATATTTGGAGGGTTTGTGGCCTGTGGTGGAAAAGGAAATATATTCACATAAAAACTAGATAGAAGCATTCTGAGAAACTTTTTTGTGATGTGCTCATTCAACTCACAGAGTTGAGATTTTCTTTTGATTGAGCAGTTTGGAAACAGTCTTTTTGTAGAATCTGCCAGTGGATATTTGGAGCGCATGACGGCCTATAGTGGAAAAGGAAATATATTCACATGAAAACTAGACAGAAGCATTCTGAGAAACTTCTTTGTGATGTGCTCATTCAACTCACAGAGTTGAGCTTTTCTTTTGATTGAGCAGTTTGGAAACAGTCTTTTTGTAGAATCTGCAAGTGGATATTTGGAGCGCATGACGGCCTATAGTGGAAAAGGAAATATATTCACATACAAACTAGACAGAAGCATTCTGAGAAACTTCTTTGTGATGTGCTCATTCAACTCACAGAGTTGAACTTTTCTTTTGTTTGAGCAGTTTGCAAACAGTCTTTTTGTAGAATCTGCAAGTGGATATTAGGAGTGCATTACGGCCTATAGTGGAGAATGAAATATCTTCACATAAAAACTAGACAGAAACATTATGAGAAACTGCTTTGTGATGCGTGCATTCATCACCAGAGTTGAGTTTCTCTTTTGATTGAACAGTTTTGAAATACTCTTTCTGTAGAATCTGAAAGGGATATTTGGAGCGCTTTGCAGCCTATGGTGAAAACGGAAATATCTTCACATAAAAGCTAGACAGAAGCATTCTAAGAAAGTGCTTTGTGACGTGTGCATTCATCTCACAGTGTTGAACCTTTCTTTTGATTGAGCAGTTTTGAAACACTCTTATTGTAGAATCTGCAAGTGGATATTTGGAGAGTTTGAGGCCACTGGTGGAAAAGCAAATATCTTCACATCAAAACTAGACAGAATCATTATAAGTAATCTCTTTGAGATGCGTGCATTCAACTCACAGAGTTGGACATTTCCTTTGATTGAGCAGTGTGGAAACAGTCTTTTTGCAGTATCTGCAAACGGATATTTGCAGCACTTTCAGGCCTATAGTAGGAAAGGAAATATCTTCACATAAAAACTAGACAGAAAATTACTGAGACACTTCTTAATGATGTGTGCATTCATCTCACAGCGTTGAAACTTTCTTTTGATTGAGCCGTTTGGAAACACTCTTTTAGTAGAAACTGCAAGGGGATATTTGGAGCGTTTTGTGGTCTATGGTAGAAAAGGATATGTTCACATAAAAATAGAAGCATTCTGAGGAACTTCATGATGTGTGCATTCATCTCAAAGAGTTGAACTTTTCTTTTGATTGAGCAGCTTTGAAAAACTCTTTCTGCAGAATCTGCAAGTTGATATTTGGAGTGCTTTGTGGCCTATAGTAGAAAAGGAAATATCTTTACATAAAACTAGACAGAAGCATTCTGAGAAACTTCTTTGTGATGTGTGCATTCATCTCACAGAGTTGAATCTTTCTTTTGTTTGAGCAGTTTTGAAACTCTCTTTCTGTAGAATCTTCAAGTGAATATTTTCAGCGCTTTGAGGCCTATGGTGGAAAAGAAAATATCTTCACATAAAAACTAGTCAGAACCATTCTGAGAAACTTCTTTATGACGTGTGCATTCAACTCATGGAGTTCAACCTTTCTTTTGATTCAGCAGTTTGGAAACAGTCTTTTTACAGTATCTGCAAATGGCTATTTGGAGAGCTTTGAGGCCTATGGTGGAAAAGGAAATCTCTTCCCATTAAAACTAGACAGCAGCATTCTGAGAAACTTATTTGTGATCTGTGCATTCATCTCCCAGAGTTGAACCTTTCTTTTGATTCAGCAGTTTTGAAACTGCCTTTTTGTAGAATCTGCAAAGGAATATTTGTGAGCCCATTGAGGCTTCTGGGGTGATAGGAAATATCTTCACGTAAAAACTAGACAGATACTTTCTGAGAAACTATTTTGTCATGTGTGACTTCTACTCACCGGGTTGAAACTTTCTGTTGATTGAGCAGTTTGGAAACAGTCTTTTTGTAGAATCTGCAAATTGATATTTGGAGTGCTTTTGGCCTACGTTGAAAAACGAAATATCTTCCCATAAAAAGTAGGCAGAAGTTTTGGAGAAATTTATTTTGATGTGTGCATTCATCTCAAACAGTTGAAATTTTCTTTTGATTGAGCAGTGTGGATACACTCGTTTCGTAGAGTCTGCAAGTGGATATTTGGAGCACTTTGTGGCCTATAGTGAAAAAGGAAATATCTTCACATAAAAACTAGATAGAAGAATTCTGAGAAACTTCCTTTGAATGGGCGCATTCATCTCACACTGTTGAACTTTTTTTTTGATTGAGCACCTTCTAAACAGTCATTTTGTAGAATATGCAAAGGAATATTTGTGAGCCCATTGATGCCTCTGGGGAAACAGGAAATATCTTCACATAAAAACGAGACAGAATCTTTCTCAGAAACGTCTTGGTGATGTGTGCATTCATCTCACTGAGTTGAACTTTACTTTGATTGAGCAGTTTGGAAACAGTCTTTTCTAGTATCTGCAAATGGATATTTTAAGCACTCTGAGGCCTACGGTGAAAAAGGAAATATCTTCAATATAAATCAGACAGAAGCATTCATAGAAACTTCTTTGTGATGTGTGCATTCATCTCACCGACTAGAACCTTTCTTTTGATTGAGCAGTTTTGAAACACTCTTTTAGCGGAATCTGCAAGTGTTTATTTGGAGCGCATGAGGAATATGGTGGAAAAGGAATCTTCTTCACATGAAAACGAGACGGAAGCATTCTGAGAAACTTCTCTGTGATGGATGCATTCATTTCACAGAGTTAAACCTTTCCTGTGATTGAGCGGTTTGGAAACAGTAGTTTTTTACAATCTGCAGAAGGATACTTGTGAGCCGATTGAGGTCTATGGGGTGATAAGAAATATGTTCACATAAAAACTAGATAGAAAGTTTCTGAGAAACTTCTTTGTGATATTTGCTTTTATCTCCTAGAGTTGAAACTTTCTTTTTATTGAGAAGTTTGGGAACAGTCTTTTTGTAGTATCTACAAATGGATATTACCAGTGCTTTGAGGCCTATGGTGAAAAAGGAAATATCTTCACATAAAAACAAGGCAGAAGCATTCTGAGAAACTTATATTTGATGTCTGCATTCATCTCTCAGAGTTGAACCTTTCTTTTGATTGAGCAGTTTTGAGAAGCTCTATTTGTAGTATCTGCAAGTGGATATTTGGAACGCTTTGAGGCCTATAGTGGAAAAGGAAATATCTTCACATAAAAAACTAGAAAGAAGAATTCTGAGAAACTTCCTAGGAAGGTGTATTTTCGTCTCACACTGTTAAACCCGTCTTTTGATTGAGCAGCTTCGATACAGCCATTTAGTAGAATATGAAAGGGAATATTTGAGAGCCCATTGAGGCCTCTGGGGAAATAAGAAATATCTTCACCTAAAAACTAGACAAAATCTTTCTGAGAAACACCCTTGTGATGTGTGCATTCATCATACACAGTTGAACTTTCTTTTGATTGAGCAGTTTGGATACAGTCATTTGTATTATCTGTAAATGGATGTTTGGAGTGTACTGAGGCCTATGGTGAGAAAGGAAATATCCTCACATAAAATTCAGATGGAAGCATTCTTAGAAACTCCTTTGTGATGTGTACATTCATCTCACAGACTTCAAACTTTCTATTGATTGAGCAGTTTTGAAACACTCTTTTTGTAGAATCTGCCAGTGGATATTTGGAGCGCTCTGTGGCCCATAGTGGAAAAGGAAATATCTTCATAAGAAAAATAAACAGAAGCACTTTGAGAAAGTTCTCTGTGTTGTATGCAGTCATAAATCAGACATGAAACTTTCTTTGGTACAGCAGTTTTGAAACACTCTTTTTGGAGATTCTGAAAGTAGATATTTGGAGAGACTTGAGGACTACGGTGGAAAAGGAAATATCTTCACAAAAAAACTAGACAGAAACATTCTGAGAAGCTTCTTTGTGATGTGTGCGTCCATATCGAAGAGTTGAACCTTTCTTTTGATTGAGCATTTTTGAAGCACTCTTTTTGTAGAATCTTCAAGTGGATATTTGGAGGGTTTGTGGCCTGTGGTGGAAAAGGAAATATATTCACATAAAAACTAGATAGAAGCATTCTGAGAAACTTTTTTGTGATGTGCTCATTCAACTCACAGAGTTGAGATTTTCTTTTGATTGAGCAGTTTGGAAACAGTCTTTTTGTAGAATCTGCCAGTGGATATTTGGAGCGCATGACGGCCTATAGTGGAAAAGGAAATATATTCACATGAAAACTAGACAGAAGCATTCTGAGAAACTTCTTTGTGATGTGCTCATTCAACTCACAGAGTTGAGCTTTTCTTTTGATTGAGCAGTTTGGAAACAGTCTTTTTGTAGAATCTGCAAGTGGATATTTGGAGCGCATGACAGCCTATAGTGGAAAAGGAAATATATTCACATAAAAACTAGACAGAAGCATTCTGAGAAACTTCTTTGTGATGTGCTCATTCAACTCACAGAGTTGAACTTTTCTTTTGTTTGAGCAGTTTGCAAACAGTCTTTTTGTAGAATCTGCAAGTGGATATTAGGAGTGCATTACGGCCTATAGTGGAGAATGAAATATCTTCACATAAAAACTAGACAGAAACATTATGAGAAACTGCTTTGTGATGCGTGCATTCATCACCAGAGTTGAGTTTCTCTTTTGATTGAACAGTTTTGAAATACTCTTTCTGTAGAATCTGAAAGGGATATTTGGAGCGCTTTGCAGCCTATGGTGAAAAAGGAAATATCTTCACATAAAAGCTAGACAGAAGCATTCTAAGAAAGTGCTTTGTGACGTGTGCATTCATCTCACAGTGTTGAACCTTTCTTTTGATTGAGCAGTTTTGAAACACTCTTATTGTAGAATCTGCAAGTGGATATTTGGAGAGTTTGAGGCCACTGGTGGAAAAGCAAATATCTTCACATCAAAACTAGACAGAATCATTATAAGTAATCTCTTTGAGATGCGTGCATTCAACTCACAGAGTTGGACATTTCCTTTGATTGAGCAGTGTGGAAACAGTCTTTTTGCAGTATCTGCAAACGGATATTTGCAGCACTTTCAGGCCTATAGTAGGAAAGGAAATATCTTCACATAAAAACTAGACAGAAAATTACTGAGACACTTCTTAATGATGTGTGCATTCATCTCACAGCGTTGAAACTTTCTTTTGATTGAGCCGTTTGGAAACACTCTTTTAGTAGAAACTGCAAGGGGATATTTGGAGCGTTTTGTGGTCTATGGTAGAAAAGGATATGTTCACATAAAAATAGAAGCATTCTGAGGAACTTCATGATGTGTGCATTCATCTCAAAGAGTTGAACTTTTCTTTTGATTGAGCAGCTTTGAAAAACTCTTTCTGCAGAATCTGCAAGTTGATATTTGGAGTGCTTTGTGGCCTATAGTAGAAAAGGAAATATCTTTACATAAAACTAGACAGAAGCATTCTGAGAAACTTCTTTGTGATGTGTGCATTCATCTCACAGAGTTGAATCTTTCTTTTGTTTGAGCAGTTTTGAAACTCTCTTTCTGTAGAATCTTCAAGTGAATATTTTCAGCGCTTTGAGGCCTATGGTGGAAAAGAAAATATCTTCACATAAAAACTAGTCAGAACCATTCTGAGAAACTTCTTTATGACGTGTGCATTCAACTCATGGAGTTCAACCTTTCTTTTGATTCAGCAGTTTGGAAACAGTCTTTTTACAGTATCTGCAAATGGCTATTTGGAGAGCTTTGAGGTCTATGGTGGAAAAGGAAATCTCTTCCCATTAAAACTAGACAGCAGCATTCTGAGAAACTTATTTGTGATCTGTGCATTCATCTCCCAGAGTTGAACCTTTCTTTTGATTCAGCAGTTTTGAAACTGTCGTTTTGTAGAATCTGCAAAGGAATATTGTGAGCCCATTGAGGCTTCTGGGGTGATAGGAAATATCTTCACGTAAAAACTAGACAGATACTTTCTGAGAAACTATTTTGTCATGTGTGACTTCTACTCACCGGGTTGAAACTTTCTGTTGATTGAGCAGTTTGGAAACAGTCTTTTTGTAGAATCTGCAAATTGATATTTGGAGCGCTTTTGGCCTACGTTGAAAAACGAAATATCTTCCCATAAAAAGTAGGCAGAAGTTTTGGAGAAATTTATTTTGATGTGTGCATTCATCTCACACAGTTGAAATTTTCTTTTGATTGAGCAGTGTGGATACACTCGTTTCGTAGAGTCTGCAAGTGGATATTTGGAGCACTTTGTGGCCTATAGTGAAAAAGGAAATATCTTCACATAAAAACTAGATAGAAGAATTCTGAGAAACTTCCTTTGAATGGGCGCATTCATCTCACACTGTTGAACTTTTTTTTTGATTGAGCACCTTCTAAACAGTCATTTTGTAGAATATGCAAAGGAATATTTGTGAGCCCATTGATGCCTCTGGGGAAACAGGAAATATCTTCACATAAAAACGAGACAGAATCTTTCTCAGAAACGTCTTGGTGATGTGTGCATTCATCTCACTGAGTTGAACTTTATTTTGATTGAGCAGTTTGGAAACAGTCTTTTCTAGTATCTGCAAATGGATATTTTAAGCACTCTGAGGCCTACGGTGAAAAAGGAAATATCTTCAATATAAATCAGACAGAAGCATTCATAGAAACTTCTTTGTGATGTGTGCATTCATCTCACCGACTAGAACCTTTCTTTTGATTGAGCAGTTTTGAAACACTCTTTTAGCGGAATCTGCAAGTGTTTATTTGGAGCGCATGAGGAATATGGTGGAAAAGGAATCTTCTTCACATGAAAACGAGACGGAAGCATTCTGAGAAACTTCTCTGTGATGGATGCATTCATTTCACAGAGTTAAACCTTTCCTGTGATTGAGCGGTTTGGAAACAGTAGTTTTTTACAATCTGCAGAAGGATACTTGTGAGCCGATTGAGGTCTATGGGGTGATAAGAAATATGTTCACATAAAAACTAGATAGAAAGTTTCTGAGAAACTTCTTTGTGATATTTGCTTTTATCTCCTAGAGTTGAAACTTTCTTTTTATTGAGAAGTTTGGGAACAGTCTTTTTGTAGTATCTACAAATGGATATTACCAGTGCTTTGAGGCCTATGGTGGAAAAGGAAATATCTTCACATAAAAACAAGGCAGAAGCATTCTGAGAAACTTATATTTGATGTCTGCATTCATCTCTCAGAGTTGAACCTTTCTTTTGATTGAGCAGTTTTGAGAAGCTCTATTTGTAGTATCTGCAAGTGGATATTTGGAACGCTTTGAGGCCTATAGTGGAAAAGGAAATATCTTCACATAAAAAACTAGAAAGAAGAATTCTGAGAAACTTCCTAGGAAGGTGTATTTTCGTCTCACACTGTTAAACCCGTCTTTTGATTGAGCAGCTTCGATACAGCCATTTAGTAGAATATGAAAGGGAATATTTGAGAGCCCATTGAGGCCTCTGGGGAAATAAGAAATATCTTCACCTAAAAACTAGACAAAATCTTTCTGAGAAACACCCTTGTGATGTGTGCATTCATCATACACAGTTGAACTTTCTTTTGATTGAGCAGTTTGGATACAGTCATTTGTATTATCTGTAAATGGATGTTTGGAGTGTACTGAGGCCTATGGTGAGAAAGGAAATATCCTCACATAAAATTCAGATGGAAGCATTCTTAGAAACTCCTTTGTGATGTGTACATTCATCTCACAGACTTCAAACTTTCTATTGATTGAGCAGTTTTGAAACACTCTTTTTGTAGAATCTGCCAGTGGATATTTGGAGCGCTCTGTGGCCCATAGTGGAAAAGGAAATATCTTCATAAGAAAAATAAACAGAAGCACTTTGAGAAAGTTCTCTGTGTTGTATGCAGTCATAAATCAGACATGAAACTTTCTTTGGTACAGCAGTTTTGAAACACTCTTTTTGGAGATTCTGAAAGTAGATATTTGGAGAGACTTGAGGACTACGGTGGAAAAGGAAATATCTTCACAAAAAAACTAGACAGAAACATTCTGAGAAGCTTCTTTGTGATGTGTGCGTCCATATCGAAGAGTTGAACCTTTCTTTTGATTGAGCATTTTTGAAGCACTCTTTTTGTAGAATCTTCAAGTGGATATTTGGAGGGTTTGTGGCCTGTGGTGGAAAAGGAAATATATTCACATAAAAACTAGATAGAAGCATTCTGAGAAACTTTTTTGTGATGTGCTCATTCAACTCACAGAGTTGAGATTTTCTTTTGATTGAGCAGTTTGGAAACAGTCTTTTTGTAGAATCTGCCAGTGGATATTTGGAGCGCATGACGGCCTATAGTGGAAAAGGAAATATATTCACATGAAAACTAGACAGAAGCATTCTGAGAAACTTCTTTGTGATGTGCTCATTCAACTCACAGAGTTGAGCTTTTCTTTTGATTGAGCAGTTTGGAAACAGTCTTTTTGTAGAATCTGCAAGTGGATATTTGGAGCGCATGACAGCCTATAGTGGAAAAGGAAATATATTCACATAAAAACTAGACAGAAGCATTCTGAGAAACTTCTTTGTGATGTGCTCATTCAACTCACAGAGTTGAACTTTTCTTTTGTTTGAGCAGTTTGCAAACAGTCTTTTTGTAGAATCTGCAAGTGGATATTAGGAGTGCATTACGGCCTATAGTGGAGAATGAAATATCTTCACATAAAAACTAGACAGAAACATTATGAGAAACTGCTTTGTGATGCGTGCATTCATCACCAGAGTTGAGTTTCTCTTTTGATTGAACAGTTTTGAAATACTCTTTCTGTAGAATCTGAAAGGGATATTTGGAGCGCTTTGCAGCCTATGGTGAAAAAGGAAATATCTTCACATAAAAGCTAGACAGAAGCATTCTAAGAAAGTGCTTTGTGACGTGTGCATTCATCTCACAGTGTTGAACCTTTCTTTTGATTGAGCAGTTTTGAAACACTCTTATTGTAGAATCTGCAAGTGGATATTTGGAGAGTTTGAGGCCACTGGTGGAAAAGCAAATATCTTCACATCAAAACTAGACAGAATCATTATAAGTAATCTCTTTGAGATGCGTGCATTCAACTCACAGAGTTGGACATTTCCTTTGATTGAGCAGTGTGGAAACAGTCTTTTTGCAGTATCTGCAAACGGATATTTGCAGCACTTTCAGGCCTATAGTAGGAAAGGAAATATCTTCACATAAAAACTAGACAGAAAATTACTGAGACACTTCTTAATGATGTGTGCATTCATCTCACAGCGTTGAAACTTTCTTTTGATTGAGCCGTTTGGAAACACTCTTTTAGTAGAAACTGCAAGGGGATATTTGGAGCGTTTTGTGGTCTATGGTAGAAAAGGATATGTTCACATAAAAATAGAAGCATTCTGAGGAACTTCATGATGTGTGCATTCATCTCAAAGAGTTGAACTTTTCTTTTGATTGAGCAGCTTTGAAAAACTCTTTCTGCAGAATCTGCAAGTTGATATTTGGAGTGCTTTGTGGCCTATAGTAGAAAAGGAAATATCTTTACATAAAACTAGACAGAAGCATTCTGAGAAACTTCTTTGTGATGTGTGCATTCATCTCACAGAGTTGAATCTTTCTTTTGTTTGAGCAGTTTTGAAACTCTCTTTCTGTAGAATCTTCAAGTGAATATTTTCAGCGCTTTGAGGCCTATGGTGGAAAAGAAAATATCTTCACATAAAAACTAGTCAGAACCATTCTGAGAAACTTCTTTATGACGTGTGCATTCAACTCATGGAGTTCAACCTTTCTTTTGATTCAGCAGTTTGGAAACAGTCTTTTTACAGTATCTGCAAATGGCTATTTGGAGAGCTTTGAGGCCTATGGTGGAAAAGGAAATCTCTTCCCATTAAAACTAGACAGCAGCATTCTGAGAAACTTATTTGTGATCTGTGCATTCATCTCCCAGAGTTGAACCTTTCTTTTGATTCAGCAGTTTTGAAACTGTCGTTTTGTAGAATCTGCAAAGGAATATTGTGAGCCCATTGAGGCTTCTGGGGTGATAGGAAATATCTTCACGTAAAAACTAGACAGATACTTTCTGAGAAACTATTTTGTCATGTGTGACTTCTACTCACCGGGTTGAAACTTTCTGTTGATTGAGCAGTTTGGAAACAGTCTTTTTGTAGAATCTGCAAATTGATATTTGGAGTGCTTTTGGCCTACGTTGAAAAACGAAATATCTTCCCATAAAAAGTAGGCAGAAGTTTTGGAGAAATTTATTTTGATGTGTGCATTCATCTCACACAGTTGAAATTTTCTTTTGATTGAGCAGTGTGGATACACTCGTTTCGTAGAGTCTGCAAGTGGATATTTGGAGCACTTTGTGGCCTATAGTGAAAAAGGAAATATCTTCACATAAAAACTAGATAGAAGAATTCTGAGAAACTTCCTTTGAATGGGCGCATTCATCTCACACTGTTGAACTTTTTTTTTGATTGAGCACCTTCTAAACAGTCATTTTGTAGAATATGCAAAGGAATATTTGTGAGCCCATTGATGCCTCTGGGGAAACAGGAAATATCTTCACATAAAAACGAGACAGAATCTTTCTCAGAAACGTCTTGGTGATGTGTGCATTCATCTCACTGAGTTGAACTTTATTTTGATTGAGCAGTTTGGAAACAGTCTTTTCTAGTATCTGCAAATGGATATTTTAAGCACTCTGAGGCCTACGGTGAAAAAGGAAATATCTTCAATATAAATCAGACAGAAGCATTCATAGAAACTTCTTTGTGATGTGTGCATTCATCTCACCGACTAGAACCTTTCTTTTGGTTGAGCAGTTTTGAAACACTCTTTTAGCGGAATCTGCAAGTGTTTATTTGGAGCGCATGAGGAATATGGTGGAAAAGGAATCTTCTTCACATGAAAACGAGACGGAAGCATTCTGAGAAACTTCTCTGTGATGGATGCATTCATTTCACAGAGTTAAACCTTTCCTGTGATTGAGCGGTTTGGAAACAGTAGTTTTTTACAATCTGCAGAAGGATACTTGTGAGCCGATTGAGGTCTATGGGGTGATAAGAAATATGTTCACATAAAAACTAGATAGAAAGTTTCTGAGAAACTTCTTTGTGATATTTGCTTTTATCTCCTAGAGTTGAAACTTTCTTTTTATTGAGCAGTTTGGGAACAGTCTTTTTGTAGTATCTGCAAATGGATATTACCAGTGCTTTGAGGCCTATGGTGAAAAAGGAAATATCTTCACATAAAAACAAGGCGGAAGCATTCTGAGAAACTTCTTTTTGATGTATGCATTCATCTCACAGAGTTGAACCTTTCTTTTGATTGAGCAGTTTTGAAACGCTCTATTTGTAGTATCTGCAAGTGGATATTTGGAACGCTTTGAGGCCTATAGTGGAAAAGGAAATATCTTCACATAAAAAACTAGAAAGAAGAATTCTGAGAAACTTCCTAGGAAGGTGTATTTTCGTCTCACACTGTTAAACCCGTCTTTTGATTGAGCAGCTTCGATACAGTCATTTAGTAGAATATGAAAGGTAATATTTGAGAGCCCATTGAGGCCTCTGGGGAAATAAGAAATATCTTCACCTAAAAACAAGACAAATTCTTTCTGAGAAACACCCTTGTGATGTGTGCATTCATCATGCACAGTTGAACTTTCTTTTGATTGAGCAGTTTGGATACAGTCATTTGTATTATCTGTAAATGGATATTTGGAGTGTATTGAGGCCTATGGTGAAAAAGGAAATATCCTCACATAAAATCCAGATGGAAGCATTCTTAGAAACTCCTTTGTGATGTGTACATTCATCTCACAGACTTCAAACTTTCTATTGATTGAGCAGTTTTGAAACACTCTTTTGTAGAATCTGCCAGTGGATATTTGGAGCGCTCTGTGGCCCATAGTGGAAAAGGAAATATCTTCATAAGAAAAATAAACAGAAGCACTTTGAGAAAGTTCTCTGTGTTGTATGCAGTCATATCTCAGACATGAAGCTTTCTTTGGTACAGCAGTTTTAAAACACTCTTTTTGGAGATTCTGAAAGTAGATATTTGGAGAGACTTGAGGACTACGTTAGAAAAGGAAATATCTTCACAAAAAAACTAGACAGAAACATTCTGAGAAGCTTCTTTGTGATGTGTGCGTCCATCTCGAAGAGTTGAACCTTTCTTTTGATTGAGCATTTTTGAAGCACTTTTTTTGTAGAATCTTCAAGTGGATATTTGGAGTGTTTGTGGCCTCTGGTGGAAAAGGAAATATATTCACATAAAAACTAGATAGAAGCATTCTGAGAAACTTCTTTGTGATGTGCTCATACAACTCACAGAGTTGAGCTTTTCTTTTGATTGAGCAGTTTGGAAACAGTCTTTTTGTAGAATCTGCAAGTGGATATTAGGAGTGCATTACGGCCTATAGTGGAAAAGGAAATATATTCACATAAAAACTAGACAGAAGCATTCAGAGAAACCTCTTTGTGATGTGCTCATTCAACTCACAGAGTTGATCTTTTCTTTTGTTTGAGCAGTTTGCAAACAGTCTTTTTGTAGAATCTGCAAGTGGATATTAGGAGTGCATTACGGCCTATAGTGGAGAATGAAATATCTTCACATAAAAACTAGACAGAAACATTATGAGAAACTGCTTTGTGATGCGTGCATTCATCACCAGAGTTGAGTTTCTCTTTTGATTGAAGAGTTTTGAAACACTCTTTCTGTAGAATCTGAAAGGGATATTTGGAGCGCTTTGCAGCCTATGGTGTAAAAGGAAACATCTTCCCATAAAAGCTAGACAGAAGCATTCTAAGAAAGTGCATTGTGACGTGTGCATTCATCTCACAGTGTTGAACCTTTCTTTTGATTGAGCAGTTTTGAAACACTCTTATTGTAGAATCTGCAAGTGGATATTTGCAGAGTTTGAGGCCACTGGTGGAAAAGCAAATATCTTCACATCAAAACTAGACAGAATCATTATAAGTAATCTCTTTGAGATGCGTGCATTCAACTCACAGAGTTGGACATTTCTTTGATTGAGCAGTGTGGAAACAGTCTTTTTGCAGTATCTGCAAACGGATATTTGCAGCACTTTCAGGCCTATAGTAGGAAAGGAAATATCTTCACATAAAAACTAGACAGAAAATTACTGAGAAACTCCTTAATGATGTGTGCATTCATCTCACAGAGTTGAAACTTTCTTTCCATTGAGCTGTTTGGAAACACTCTTTTAGTAGAAACTGCAAGGGGATATTTGGAGCGTTTTGTGGTCTATGGTAGAAAAGGATATATCTTCACATAAAAATAGAAGCATTCTGAGGAACTTCATGATGTGTGCATTCATCTCAAAGAGTTGAACTTTTCTTTTGATTGAGCAGCTTTGAAAATCTCTTTCTGCAGAATCTGCAAGTTGATATTTGGAGTGCTTTGTGGCCTACAGTAGAAAAGGAAATATCTTTACATAAAACTAGACAGAAGCATTCTGAGAAACTTCTTTGTGATGTGTGCATTCATCTCACAGAGTTGAATCTTTCTTTTGTTTGAGCAGTTTTGAAACTCTTTCTGTAGAATCTTCAAGTGGATATTTTCAGCGCTTTGAGGCCTATGGTGGAAAAGAAATTATCTTCACATAAAAACTAGTCAGAAGCATTCTGAGAAACTTCTTTGTGACGTGTGCATTCAACTCATGGAGTTCAACCTTTCTTTTGATTCAGCAGTTTGGAAACAGTCTTTTTACAGTATCTGCAAATGGCTATTTGGAGAGCTTTGAGGCCTATGGTGGAAAAGGAAATCTCTTCCCATAAAAACTAGACAGCAGCATTCTGAGAAACTTATTTGTGATCTGTGCATTCATCTCACAGAGTTGAACCTTTCTTTTGATTCAGCAGTTTTGAAACTGTCGTTTTGTAGAATCTGCAAAGGAATATTTGTGAGCCCATTGAGGCTTCTGGGGTGATAGGAAATATCTTCACATAAAAACTAGACAGATACTTCCTGAGAAACTATTTTGTCATGTGTGACTTCTACTCACCGGGTTGAAACTTTCTCTTGATTGAGCAGTTTGGAAACAGTCTTTTTGTAGAATCTGCAAATTGATATTTGGAGTGCTTTTGGCCTACGTTGAAAAACGAAATATCTTCCCCTAAAAAGTAGGCAGAAGTTTTGTAAAAATTTATTTAGATGTGTGCATTCATCTCACACAGTTGAAATTTTCTTTTGATAGGGCAGTGTGGATACACTCGTTTTGTAGGGTCTACAAGTGGATATTTGGAGCACTTTGTGGCCTATAGTGAAAAAGGAAATATCTTCACATAAAAACTAGATAGAAGAATTCTGAGAAACTTCCTTTGAATGGGCGCATTCATCTCACACTGTTGAACTTTTTTTTTGATTGAGCACCTTCTAAAGAGTCATTTTGTAGAATTTACAAAGGAATATTTGTGAGCCCATTGATGCCTCTGGGGAAACAGGAAATATCTTCACATAAAAACGAGACAGAATCTTTCTCAGAAACGTCTTGGTCATGTTTGCATTCATCTCACTGAGTTGAACTTTATTTTGATTGAGCAGTTTGGAAAGTGTCTTTTCTAGTATCTGCAAATGGATATTTTAAGCACTCTGAGGCCTACGGTGAAAAAGGAAATATCTTCAATATAAATCAGACAGAAGCATTCATAGAAACTTCTTTGTGATGTGTGCATTCATCTCACCGACTAGAACCTTTCTTTTGATTGAGCAGTTTTGAAACACTCTTTTAGCGGAATCTGCAAGTGTTTATTTGGAGCGCATGAGGAATATGGTGGAAAAGGAATCTTCTTCACATGAAAACGAGACGGAAGCATTCTGAGAAACTTCTCTGTGATGGATGCATTCATTTCACAGAGTTAAACCTTTCCTGTGATTGAGCGGTTTGGAAACAGTAGTTTTTTACAATCTGCAGAAGGATACTTGTGAGCCGATTGAGGTCTATGGGGTGATAAGAAATATGTTCACATAAAAACTAGATAGAAAGTTTCTGAGAAACTTCTTTGTGATATTTGCTTTTATCTCCTAGAGTTGAAACTTTCTTTTTATTGAGCAGTTTGGGAGCAGTCTTTTTGTAATATCTGCAAATGGATATTACCAGTGCTTTGAGGCCTATGGTGAAAAAGGAAATATCTTCACATAAAAACAAGGCGGAAGCATTCTGAGAAACTTCTTTTTGATGTCTGCATTCATCTCACAGAGTTGAACATTTCTTTTGATTGAGCAGTTTTGAAACGCTCTATTTGTGGTATCTGCAAGTGGATATTTGGAACGCTTTGAGGCCTATAGTGGAAAAGGAAATATCTTCACATAAAAAACTAGAAAGAAGAATTCTGAGAAACTTCCTAGGAAGGTGTATTTTCGTCTCACACTGTTAAACCCGTCTTTTGATTGAGCAGCTTCGATACAGTCATTTAGTAGAATATGAAAGGGAATATTTGAGAGCCAATTGAGGCCTCTGGGGAAATAAGAAATATCTTCACCTAAAAACTAGACAAAATCTTTCTGAGAAACAGCCTTGTGATGTGTGCCTTCATCATACACAGTTGAACTTTCTTTTGATTGAGCAGTTTGGATACAGTCATTTGTATTATCTGTAAATGGATATTTGGAGTGTACTGAGGCCTATGGTGAAAAAGGAAATATCCTCACATAAAATTCAGATGGAAGCATTCTTAGAAACTCCTTTGTGATGTGTGCATTCATCTCACAGACTTCAAACTTTCTATTGATTGAGCAGTTTTGAAACACTCTTTTTGTAGAATCTGCAAGTCGATATTTGGAGCGCTCTGTGGCCCATAGTGGAAAAGGAAATATCTTCATAAAAAAAATAAACAGAAGCACTTTGAGAAACTTCTCTGTGTTGTATGCAGTCATATCTCAGACATGAAACTTTCTTTGGTACAGCAGTTTTAAAACACTCTTTTTGGAGATTCTGAAAGTAGATATTTGGAGAGACTTGAGGACTACGGTGGAAAAGGAAATATCTTCACAAAAAAACTAGACAGAAACATTCTGAGAAGCTTCTTTGTGATGTGTGCATCCATCTCAAAGAGTTGAACCTTTCTTTTGATTGAGCATTTTTGAAGCACTCTTTTTGTAGAATCTTCAAGTGGATATTTGGAGTGTTTGTGGCCTGTGGTGGAAAAGGAAATATATTCACATAAAAACTAGATAGAAGCATTCTGAGAAACTTCTTTGTGATGTGCTCATTCAATTCACAGAGTTGAGCTTTTCTTTTGATTGAGCAGTTTGGAATCAGTCTTTTTGTAGAATCTGCAAGTGGATATTTGGAGCGCATGACGGCGTATAGTGGAAAAGGAAATATATTCACATAAAAACTAGACAGAAGCATTCTGAGAAACTTCTTTGTGATGTGCTCATTCAACTCACAGAGTTGAACTTTTCTTTTGTTTGAGCAGTTTGCAAACAGTCTTTCTGTAGAATCTGCAAGTGGATATTAGGAGTGCATTACGGCCTATAGTGGAAAAGGAAATATCTTCACATAAAAACTAGACAGAAACATTATGAGAAACTGCTTTGTGATGCGTGCATTCATCACCAGAGTTGAGTTTCTCTTTTGATTGAACAGTTTTGAAATACTCTTTCTGTAGAATCTGAAAGGGATATTTGGAGTGCTTTACAGCCTATGGTGAAAAAGGAAATATCTTCACATAAAAGCTAGACAGAAGCATTCTAAGAAAGTGCTTTGTGACGTGTGCATTCATCTCACAGTGTTGAACCTTTCTTTTGATTGAGCAGTTTTGAAACACTCTTATTGTAGAATCTGCAAGTGGATATTTGGAGAATTTGAGGCCACTGGTGGAAAAGCAAATATCTTCACATCAAAACTAGACAGAATCATTATAAGTAATCTCTTCGAGATGCATGCATTCAACTCAAAGAGTTGGACATTTCCTTTGATTGAGCAGTGTGGAAACAGTCTTTTTGCAGTATCTGCAAACGGATATTTGCAGCACTTTCATGCCTATAGTAGGAAAGGAAATATCTTCACATAAAAACTAGACAGAAAATTACTGAGAAACTTCTTAATGATGTGTGCATTCATCTCACAGAGTTGAAACTTTCTTTTGATTGAGCCGTTTGGAAACACTCTTTTAGTAGAAACTGCAAGGGGATATTTGGAGCGTTTTGTGGTCTATGGTAGAAAAGGATATATCTTCACATAAAAATAGAAGCATTCTGAGGAACTTCATGATGTGTGCATTCATCTCAAAGAGTTGAACTTTTCTTTTGATTGAGCAGCTTTGAAAATCTCTTTCTGCAGAATCTGCAAGTTGATATTTGGAGTGCTTTGTGGCCTATAGTAGAAAAGGAAATATCTTTACATAAAACTAGACAGAAGCATTCTGAGAAACTTCTTTGTGATGTGTGCATTCATCTCACGGAGTTGAATCTTTCTTTTGTTTGAGCAGTTTTGAAACTCTCTTTCTGTAGAATCTTCAAGTGGATATTTTCAGCGCTTTGAGGCCTATGGTGGAAAAGAAAATATCTTCACATAAAAACTAGTCAGAACCATTCTGAGAAACTTCTTTGTGACGTGTGCATTCAACTCATGGAGTTCAACCTTTCTTTTGATTCAGCAGTTTGGAAACAGTCTTTTTACAGTATCTGCAAATGGCTATTTGGAGAGCTTTGAGGCCTATGGTGGAAAAGGAATTATCTTCCCATAAAAACTAGACAGCAGCATTCTGAGAAACTTATTTGTGATCTGTGCATTCATCTCACAGAGTTGAACCTTTCTTTTGATTCAGCAGTTTTGAAACTGTCGTTTTGTAGAATCTGCAAAGGAATATTTGTGAGCCCATTGAGGCTTCTGGGGTGATAGGAAATATCTTCACATAAAAACTAGACAGATACTTTCTGAGAAACTATTTTGTCATGTGTGACTTCTACTCACCGGGTTGAAACTTTCTCTTGATTGAGCAGTTTGGAAACAGTCTTTTTGTAGAATCTGCAAATTGATATTTGGAGTGCTTTTGGCCTACGTTGAAAAACGAAATATCTTCCCATAAAAAGTAGGCAGAAGTTTTGGAGAAATTTATTTTGATGTGTGCATTCATCTCACACAGTTGAAATTTTCTTTTGATTGAGCAGTGTGGATACACTCGTTTTGTAGAGTCTGCAAGTGGATATTTGGAGCACTTTGTGGCCTATAGTGAAAAAGGAAATATCTTCACATAAAAACTAGATAGAAGAATTCTGAGAAACTTCCTTTGAATGGGCGCATTCATCTCACACTGTTGAACTTTTTTTTTGATTGAGCACCTTCTGAACAGTCATTTTGTAGAATATGCAAAGGAATATTTGTGAGCCCATTGATGCCTCTGGGGAAACAGGAAATATCTTCACATAAAAACGAGACAGAATCTTTCTCAGAAACGTCTTGGTGATGTGTGCATTCATCTCACTGAGTTGAACTTTACTTTGATTGAGCAGTTTGGAAACAGTCTTTTCTAGTATCTGCAAATGGATATTTTAAGCACTCTGAGGCCTACGGTGAAAAAGGAAATATCTTCAATATAAATCAGACAGAAACATTCATAGAAACTTCTTTGTGATGTGTGCATTCATCTCACCGACTAGAACCTTTCTTTTGATTGAGCAGTTTTGAAACACTCTTTTAGCGGAATCTGCAAGTGTTTATTTGGAGCACATGAGGAATATGGTGGAAAAGGAATCTTCTTCACATGAAAACGAGACTGAAGCATTCTGAGAAACTTCTCTGTGATGGATGCATTCATTTCACAGAGTTAAACCTTTCCTGTGATTGAGCGGTTTGGAAACAGTACTTTTTTACAATCTGCAGAAGGATACTTGTGAGCCGATTGAGGTCTATGGGGTGATAAGAAATATGTTCACATAAAAACTAGATAGAAAGTTTCTGAGAAACTTCTTTGTGATATTTGCTTTTATCTCCTAGAGTTGAAACTTTCTTTTTATTGAGCAGTTTGGGAACAGTCTTTTTGTAGTATCTGCAAATGGATATTACCAGTGCTTTGAGGCCTATGGTGAAAAAGGAAATATCTTCTCATAAAAACAAGGCAGAAGCATTCTCAGAAACTTCTTTGTGATGTGTGCATTCATCTCACAGACTTCAAACTTTCTATTGATTGAGCAGTTTTGAAACACTCTTTTTGCAGTATCTGCAAGTGTATATTTGAAGTGCTTTGAGGCTTCTGGTGGAAAAGGAAGCATCTTCACATAAAAACTAGACACAAGCATTCTGAGAAACTTCTTTGTGCTGTGTGCATTCATGTCACAGAGCTGAATCTTTCTTTTATTGAGCACTTTTGAAAAACTGTTTCATAGAGTGTTCAAGTGGATATTTGGAGCACTTTGAGGCCTATGGTGGAAAAGGAAATATCTTCATATAAAAACTAGACAGAAGCATTCTGAGAAACTTCTTAATGATGTGTGCTTTCATCTCACAGGTTTGAACCTTTTTTTTGATTGAGCAGTTTGGAAACAGTCTTTTTGTAGAATCTGCAAATGATACTTCAAGCACTTTGAGGCCTATGGTGAAAAAGGACATATCTTCACATGAAATATAAACAGAAGCTTTCTGAGAAACTTCCTTTTGATGACTGCATACATCTCACAGAGGTGAAACTTTCTTTTCATTGAGCAGTTTGGAAACAGTCTTTTTGTAAAATCTGCAAAGGAATATTTCTGCGAAGTTAGAGGCCTATGGTGAAAAAGAAATATCTTCAGATAAAATGTAGACAGAAGTATTCTGAGAAAATTTTTTGTGATGTATCCATTTATCTCACAGAGTTGAACTTTTCTTTTGATGGAGCAGTCTGGAAACAGTCTTTTTGTAGTATCTGAAGAGGTATATGTGAGAACAGTTTAAGGCCTCTGTTGGAAAAGGAAATATCTTCACATAAAAACTAGGTAGAAGCATTCTGAGAAACTTCTTTGTGTTGTGTGCATTCATCTCAAAGAGCTGAACCTGTCTTTGGAATGAGCAGTTTGGAAACAGTCGTTTTGTAGAATCTGCAAAGTGATATTTAGGAGCAAGTTGAAGCCTATGGTGAAAAAGGAAATATCTTCACATAAAAACTAGAAATAAGCATTCTGAGAAGCTGTTTTAAGATATGTGTATTCATCTCACAGAAGTAAACATTTCTTTTCATTGAGTAGTTTGTAAACTCTGTTATTCTAGAGTCTGCAAAGGGATTTTTTTGAGTGCTTTGTGACCCACATTGAAAAAGGAAATATCTTCACATAAAAACTTGTGAGAAGCTTGCTGAGAAAGTACTTCCTGATGTGTGCATTTATCTAACAGAGTTGAAACTTTCTTTTGATTGAGCAGTTTGGAAACAGTCTTTTTGTAGATTCTGCAAAGGTATATTTGGGAGTGCATTTAGGCCTATGTTCTAAAAGGAAATATCTTCACATAAAAATGAGAAGGGAGTTTTCTGAGAAACTTCTTTGTGATGTGCACATTCGTCTCACAGGGTTGAACCATTCTGTTTATTGAGCAGTTTGGAAACAGTATTTTTGTAGAATCTGCAAAGGGATATCTGCGAGCACATTGAGGCATATGGTGAAAAAGGAAATATCTTCACATTAAAAGCAGAAAGAAGTTTTCTGAGTAACTCCTTTGTGACATTTGCATTTATCACACAGAAGTAAAAATTTCTTCCCATTGAGCAGTTAGTTTTTATGTGAAGATATTTCCATTTTCACTATAGACCTCAAACCACCTACATATATCCCTTTGCAGATTCTACAAAAAGACTGTTTCCAAACTGCTCAATCAAAGAAAACTTCCACTCTGCGAGATGAATGCACACATCACAGAGAAGTTTCTCAGAAAGTTTCTGTCTAGTTTTTATTTGCTGATACTCCCTTTTTCACCATAGGCCTCAAACCGCTCATAAATAACCCTTTGCAGATTCTACAAAAAGACTGTTTCCAAACTACTCAATCAGAAGAAAGCTTCATCTCTGTGACATGAATTCACACATCACAAAGAAGTTTTCCAGAAATCTTCTGTCTAGTTTTTATGTTAAGATACTTCCTTTTTCACCACAGGCCTCAAATATCTCCAAATATCCATTTGCAGATTCTACAAAAAAACTTTCCAAACTGATCAATCAAAAGAAATGTTCAACACTGTGAGATGAAGGCACACATCACAAAGAAGTTTCTCAGAAATCTTCTGTCTAGTTTTTATGTGAAGATATTTCGTATTTCACCACAGGCCATAAAGGGCTCACAAATATCCCTTTGCAGATTGTACAAAAAGACTGTTTCCAAGATGCTCAGCCAAAATAATGATTCAACTCTGTGAAATGAAAGCACACATCACAAAGAAGTTTCTCAAAATGCTTCCCTCTACTTTTTATGTGAATATATTTCCTTTTTAAACCTAGGCCTCAAAGCTCTCCAAATATCCATTTGTAGATTCTTCCAAAGACTGTTTCCAAAGTGATCAATCAACAGAAGGGTTCAACTCTGTAGGATGAAAGCACACATCACAAAGATGTTTCTCAGAAAGCTTCTGTCTAGTATTTATGTGAAGATATTTCCTATTTCACTGTAGGCCTCAATGGGATCACAAATATCCCTTTGCAGATTCTACAAAAAGACTGTTTCTGAACTGCTCAATGAAAAGAAAGGTTCAACTCTGTGAGGTGAATGCACAGATAAAAAAGAAGTTTCTCAGAATGCTTGTGTCTAGTTTTTATGTGAAGTTATTTCTTTTTCACCATAGGCCTCAAACCACTCAGAAACACTCCTTTGCAGTTTGCACAAAAAGAAAGTTTCCAAACTCCTCAATGAACAGAAAAGTTCAACTCTTTGAGATGAATGCAAACATCACAAAGATTTATCTCAAAAATCTTCTGTCTGGTTTTTATGTGAAGATATTTTGTTTTTCACCATAGGCCTCAAACAGCTCACAAATATAACTTTGCAGATTCTACAAAATGACTTGTTCCTAAACTACTCAATGAAAAGAAAGGTTTGAATCTGTGAGATGAAAGCACGCATCATGAAGAAGTTTCTCAGAAAGTTTCTATCTAGTTATTGTGTGCAGATTCTTCCTTTTTCACCTTATGCCTCAAAGCGCTCCAAATATCTGTTTACAGGTTCTACAAAAAGAGTGTTTCCAAACTGCTCAATCAAAGGAAAGGTTCAACTCTGTGAAATGAAAGGGCACATCACAAGGAAGTTTCTCAGAATGCTTCTGTCTAGTTATTATGTGAAGATAATCCCTATTTCACTATAGGACTCAAAGGACTCAGAAATATCCCTTTGCAGATTCTACAAAATGACTGTATCCAAACTGCTCCATCAAAAAAAAAGGTTGAACTCTGTGAGATGAAAGCACGCATCACAAAGAAGTTCCTCAGAAAGCTTCTGTCTAGTTTTTATGTAAAGATATTTCCTATTTCACCATAGGCCTCAAAGGTCTCAGAAATATCCCTTTGCAGATTGTATGAAAAGACTATTTCTGAACTACTCAATGAAATGAAAGCTTCAACTCTGTGGTTTGAATGCACACATCACAAAGAAGTTTCCCAGAATACTTCTGTCTAATTTTTATATGAAGATATTTCTTCATTCAGAAATATCACTCAGAAATATCCCTTTACAGATTGTGGAAAAAGACTGTTTCCAAACTGCTCAATGAAAAGGAAGATTCGACTCTGTGAAATGAATGCAAACATCATAAAGAGGTTTCTCAAAAAGCTTCTGTCTGGTTTTTATGTGAAGGTATTTCCTTTTTCACCATAGGCCACAAACCACTAACAAATATCCCTTTGCAGATTCTCCAAAAAGACTGCTTCCAAACTGCTCGATGAAAAGAAAGGCTAAACTTTGTCACACATCACAAAGAAGTTTCTCAGAATGCTTTTGTCTTGTTTTATATGAAGAAGTTTCATTTTTCACCATAGGCCTCAAAGTGCTCCAAATATCCATTTGCAGATTCTACAAAAAGACTTTTTCCAAATTGCTCAATCAAAAGAACGGTTCAACTCTGTGTGATGAATGCACATATCACAAAGAAGTTTCTCAGAAAACTTCTGTTTAGTTTTTATGTGAAGATATTTCCTTTTTCACCATGGGTCTCAAAGTGCTCCAAATATCCACTTGCAGAATCTACAAAAAGAGTGTTTTCAAACTGCTTAATCACAAGAAAGTTTCAACTCTGTGAGATGAAAGCACACTTCACCAAGGAGTTTCTTAGAAACCTTCTATCTAGTTTTTATGTGAAGATATTTCATATTTCAAAATAGGTCTCAATGGGCTCAGAAGTATACACTTGCAGATGCTACAAAAAGAGTGTTTCCAAAAAGCTCAATCAAAAGAAATGTTTAACACTTTAAGATGAATGTGCACATTACAAAGAAGTCTCTCAGAATGCTTCTGTATACTTTTTTTGAGAAGCCATTTCCTTTTTCACCATAGGCCTCAGTCCACTCACTAATAGCCCACTTCAGACACTACAAAAGACTCTTTCCAAACTGCTCAATCAAAATAAAGGTTCACATCTATGAGATGAAAGCCTACATCACAAAGAAGTTTCTCAGAAAGTTTCTGTCTAGTTTTTATGTGAAGATATTTTCTATTTCACCTTAGGCCTCAAAGAGATAAAAAATATCCCTTTTCAGATTCTACAAAAAACTGTTTCTGAACTGCCTCATCAAAAGAAAGGTTCAACTCTGTGAGATCAATGCACACATAAAAAAATTAGTTTCTCAGAATGCTACTGTCTAGTTTTTATGTGAAGATATTACTTTTTCACCATAGGTCTCAAACTGCAAACAAATATTCCTTTGCAGATCGCACAAAAAGTAAGATTCCACACTGCTTAATGAATAGAAAGGTTCAACTCAGTGAGATGAATGCAAACATCACAAAGAGTTTTCTCAAAATGCTTCTGTCTAGGTTTTAGGTGAAGATATTTACTTTTTCACTATAGGCCTCAAACCACTCACAAATATCACTTTTCAGATTCTACAAAATGACTTGTTGCCAAACTGCTCAATGAAAACAAGATCCAACTCTGTGAGATGAAAGCACACATCACAAAGAAGTTTCTCAGAAAGTTTCCCAGAAAGTTTCCGACTAGTTTTTATATGCAGATATTTTCTTTTTCACCATAGGCCTCAAAGCACTACAAATATCCGTTTGCAAGTTCTACAAAAAGAGTGTTTCCAAACTGCTCAATCAAAAGAGAGGTTCAACTCCTTGTGGTGAAAGCACACAGCACAAAGAAGTTTTACAGAAAACTTCTGTCTAGTTTTTATGTGAAGACATTTCCCATTTCACCATAGGCTCCAATGTGCTCACAAACATCCTTTTGCAGATTCTACAAAAGGACTCTTTCCAAACTGCTCAATCCAAGGAAAGTTTCAACTCTGTGACATGAATGCACACATCACAAGGAACTTTCTCAGAATGCTTCTCTCTAGTTTTTATGTGAAGACATTTCCTGTTCACCATAGGCCTGAAATGCTGCAAATATCCATCTTCAGATTCTACAAAAAGAATGTTTCCAAACTGTTCAATCAAAAGAAAAGTTCAACTCTGTAAGACGAAAGCACACATCACAAAGAATTTTCTCAGAAAGCTTCTGTCTAGTTTTTTTTTGTGTGTGAAGATATTCCCTATTTCACCATAGGCCTGAAAGGGCTCAAAAATATCCTTTTGCATATTATACAAAAATACTGTCTCCAAACTGCACAATCGAAAGAAAGTTTCAACTCTGTGTGATGAATGCACACATTACAAAGAAGTTTCTTAGAATGCTTTTGTCTAGTTTTTATATGAAGATATTTATCTCACAATAGCCTCAAATGGCTCAGGAATATCCCTTTGCAGATTGTACAAAAAGACTATTTCCAAACTGCTCAATCAAAAGAAAGTTTCAACACTGTGAGATGAATGCACACATCACAAAGAAGTTTCTCAGAAAGCTTCTGTTAAGATTTCATGTGAAGATATTTCCTTTTTCACCATAGGCCTCAACGGGCTCAGAAGTATCCCTTTGTAGATTCTACAAAAGGTCTGTTTAGAAAACTGCTCAATCCAAAGAAAGGTTCAACTCTGTGAGATGAATGCACACATCTAAAAGAAGTTTCTCACAATGGATCTGTCGAGGTTTTCTGTGAAGATATATCCTTTTTAACCATAGGCCTTAAACTGCTCATGAATATCCCTCTGCAGATACTACAAAAAGACTGTTTCCAAACTGCTGCATCCAAAGAAATGTTCAATTCTGTGAGATGAATACACACATCACAAAGAAGTTTCTCAGAATGCTACTGTCTGGTTTTTATGTGAAGATATTTCCTATTTCACCATAGGCTGTAAAGGGCTCACAAATATCCATTTGCATATTCAAAAAAAAGACTGTTTCCAAACTGTTCAAACTAAAGAAAGGTTCAACTCTGTGAGATGAATGCACACACCAGAAAGAGGTTTCTCAGAATGCTTCTGTCTAGTTTTTAGGTTTTTATGTGAAGATATTTCCTTTTTCAGCATAGGACTCAGTGGGCTCAGAATTATCCGTTTGCAGATTCTACAAAAGGACTGTTTAGAAAACTGCTGAATCCAAAGAAAGATTCAACTCTATGAGATGAATGCACACATCACAAAGAAGTTTTGCAGAATACATCTATCTAGTTTTTCGGTGAAAATATTTCTTTTTTCACTATAGGCCTCAAAGCACTCCAAATACCCATTTGTAGATTCTACAAAAAGAGTGTTTCCAAACTGCTCAATCAAAAGAAAGTTTCAACCCTGTGACACGGAAGCAAACATCACAAAGTAGTTTCTCAGAAAGCTTCTGTCTAGTTTTTGTGTGAAGGTATTTCCTATTTCACCATGGGCCATATAGTGCTCACAAATATTTTTGTAAATTCTACAAAAAGGCTGTTTCCAAACTGCTCAATCCACAGAAAGTTTCAACTCTGCGAGATGAATGGACACACCACAAAAAAGTTTATCAGAATGCTTCTATCTAATTTTTATGTGAAGACATTTCTTTTTCACCCTAGGCTTCAATGGGCTCAGAAATACCCCTTTGCAGATTTTACAAAAGGACTGTTTCCAAACTGCTCAATCAAAGAAAGGTTCAACTCTATGAGATGAATGCACACATCACATAGATGTTTCTCACAATCCTTCTGTCTATTTTTTATGTGAAGGTATTTCCTTTTTCACCATAAGCCTCAAAGTGCTCCAAACATCCATTTGCTGATTCCACAAAAAGACTGTTTCTAAACTCCTCAATCAAAGAAAGATTCAACTGTATGAAATGAATGCACACATCACAGAGATGTTTCTCACAATGCTTCTGTCTGTTTTTTATGTGAAGGTATTTACTTTTTCACCATAGGCCTCAAAGCGCTCCAAACATCCATTTGCTGATTCCACAAAAAGACCCTTTCCAAACTGCTCAATCAAAAGAAAGGTACAACTCCATGTGTTGAAAGCACGCATCACAAAGAAGTTTCTCAGAAAGCTTCTGTCTAGTTTTTCTTTGAGAATATTTCCTGTTTCACCATGGGCCATAAAGGGCTCAAAAATATTTTTTGCAGATTCTACAATAAGACTGTTTCCAAACTGCTCAATCCAAAGAAAGGTTCAACTCTGTGAGATGAATGGACACAAGACAAAGAAGTTTCTCAGAATACTTCTGTCTAGGGTTCATGTGAGGTATTTCCTTTTTCACCATAGGCCTCAAAGTGCTCCAAATATCCATTTGCAGATTCCACAAAAAGACTGTTTCCAAATAGCTCAATCAAAAGAAAGTTTCAACTCTGTGAAGTGAAAGCACACATCACAAAGAAGTTTCTCAGAATGTATATTTGTAGTTTTTTTGTGAAGATATTTCCTTTTTCACCATAGGCCTCAACACGCTCGAAATAGCCATTCACAGATTCTACCAAAAGACTGTTTACAAACTGCTAAATCAAAAGAAAGTTTCAGCTCTATGATATGAATGCACGCATCACAAAGAAGTTTCTTAGAAAGATTCTGTTTAGTGTTTATCTGAAGATATTTCCTTTTTCACCGCAGGCCTCAAAGCGCTCCAAATATGCATTTCCAGATTCTATAAAAAGTCTGTTTCCAAGCTGCTCAATGAAAGGAAAGGTTCATCTCTGTGAGATGAAAGCACATATCACAAAGAAGTTTCTCAGAATGTTTCTTTCTAGTTTTTTTGTGAAGATATTTCCTTTTTTACCATAGGCCTCAAAGCACTCCAAATATCCATTTGTAGATTCTACAAAAAGACTGTTTACAAACTGTTCAATCAAAAGAAGATTTCAACGCTGTGAGATGAATGCACGCATTACAAAGTAGTTTCTCAGAAAGCTTCTGTTTAGTTTTTATGTGAAGATATTTGCTTTTTCACCATAGGCCTCGAAACGCTCCAATTATCCATTTGCAGATTATGCAAAAAGAGTGTTTCCAAACTGCTCAGTAAAAGAAATGCTTAACTCTTTGAGATGAAAGCACTCATTAAAAATAAGTTTCTCAGAAAGCTTCTGTCTAGCTTTATGTGAAGATATTTCCTATATCACCAAAGACCTCAATCAGCTGAGAAATATCCCTTTGGGGATTCTACAATAGGACTGTTTCCAAACTGCTCTAGCAAAGGAAAGGTTCAACTTTGTGAGATGAATGCAAGCATCACAAAATAGTTTCTCAGAAAGTTTCTGTGTAGTTTTTATGTGAAGATATTTCCTACTTCACCATAGGCCTCAAAGGGTTCACAATTATCCCTTTGTAGATTTTACAAAAATACTGTTGTCAAATCTTCAATCAAATAAATGTTCATCTGTGTGAGATGAATGAAAACCTCACAAAGAAGTTTCTCAGAATGCTTCCGTCGAATTTTTATGTAATGATATTTCCTTTTTTACCATAGGCCTCAAAGCGCTCTAAATATCCATTTGCAGATTCTACAAAAAGGTGGTTTCCAAACTGCTCAATCAAAAGAAAGGTTCAACTCTGTGAGATGGAAGCACACATCACAAAGAAGTTTCTTAGAAACCTTCTGTCTAGTTTTTATGGGAAGATATTTCATATTTCACCATAGGCCTCAATGGGCTCAGAGATATACCTTTGCAGATTCTACAAAAAGATTGTTTACAAACTGCTCCATCCAAAGAAAGGTTCAACACTCTGAGATTAATTCACACATCACAAAGAAGTTTCTCAGAAAGCTTCTGTCTAGTTTTTATGTGAAGATATTTCTTTGTTCACCATAGGCCTCAAACTGCTCACAAACATCCCTCTACAGATACTACAAAAAGACTGTTACCAAACTGTTTAATCAAAAGAAGGGATCAACTCTGTGTTATAAATGCACATGTCACCAAGAAGTTTCTCAGAATGCTTCTGTCTAGTTTTTATGTGAAGATATTTCCTATTTCTCCTTAGGCCATAAAGGGCTCACAAATATCCCTCTGCAGATTCTAGAAAAGGACTCTTTTCAAACTGCTCAATCAAAAGAAAGGTTCAAATCTGTGAGATGAATGCACACATCACAAAGAAGTTTCTCCAAAAGCTTCTGTCCACTTTTTATGTGAAGATATTTCCCTTTTCACCATACGTAACAAAGCGCTCAAAATATCCTTTTGCAGATTCTCTGAAAAGACTGTTTCCAAACTTCTCAATCAAAAGAATGGTTCAACTCTGTGAGATGAATGCATATATCACAAAGAAGTTTCTCTGAAATCTTCTGTGTAGTTTTTATGTGAAGACATTTCCTTTTTTACCGTAGGCCTCAAGCCACTCACAAATATCCCTTTGCAGATTTTACAAGAACAGAGTTTCCAGACTCATCAAAGAATAGATACTTTTATCTCTCTGAGATGAGGGCAAACCTTGCAAAACAGCTTCTCAGAAACATTCTTTATAGTTTTTATTGAAGATATTTCCTTTCTCACCATAGGCCTCAAAGGGCTCACAAATATCCCATTGCAGATTCTACAAATTGACAGTTTTCAAGCTGTTCAGTCAAAAGACTGTTTCAACTATGTGAGATGAATGCACACATGACAGGGAGGTTTCTCAGAGAACTTCTGTCTATTTATTATGTGAAGGTATTTCCTTTTTCACCAAAGGCCTCAAAGCGCTCACAAATATCTCCTTGCAGATTCTACAACAACATAGTATCCAAACTCATTAATCAAAATAACGCATCACATAAAATTTCTAGAAGAAAACCTAGGCCATAGCATTCTGGACATAGGCATGGGCAAGGACTTCATGTCTAAAACACCTAAAGCAATGGCAACAAAAGTCACAATTGACAAATGGGATCTCATTAAACTAAGGAGGTTCTGCCCAGCTAAAGAAAACACCATCAGAGTGAACAGGAATCCTATAGAATGGGAGAAAAATTTTGCAACCTACTCATCTGACACAGGGTTAATATCCAGAATCTACAATGAACTCAGACAAATTTACAGGAAAAAAACCAAACAACCCCATCAAAAAGTGGGCAAAGGATATGAACAGACATTTCTCAAAAGAAGACATTTATGCTGCCAATGAACAATGAAAAAATGCTCATCTTCACTGGCCATCAGAGAAATGCAAGTCAAAACCACAATGAGATACCATCTCACACCAGTTAGAATGGCGATCATTAAAAAGTCAGGAAACAACAGGTGCTGGAGAGGATGTGAGAAATAGGAACACTTTTGCACTGTTGGTGGGACTGTAAACTAGTTCAACCATTGTGGAAGTCGGCATGGCGATTCCTCAGGGATCCAGAACTAGAAATACCACTTGAGCCAGCCATGCCATTACTGGGTATATACCCAAAGGACTATAAATCATGCTGCTATAAGGACACATGCACACGTATGTTTATAGCAGCACTATTCACAATAGCAAAGACTTGGAACCAACGTAAATGTCCAACCACTGTAGACTGGATGAAGAGAATGTGGCACATATACATCATGGAAGACTATGTGGCCATAAAAAATGATGAGTTCATGTCCTTTGTAGGGACATGGATGAAGCTGGAAACCATCATTCTCAGCGAACTATCGCAAGGACAAAAAATAAAACACCACATGTTCTCACACATAGTTGGGAATTGATCGAAGAGAACACATGGACACAGGAAGGGAAACATCACACACCACACACCAGGGATTGTAGTTGGGTGGGAGGAGGGGGAGGGGGAGGGATAGCATTAGGAGGTATACCTAATGCTAAATGATGAGTTCATGGGAGCAACACACAAACATGGCACATGTATACATATGTAACAAACCTGCACGTTGTACACATGTTCCCTAAAACTTAAAGTATAATAATAATAAAAGTAAATAATTAAAAAATAAACCCAGAGCTCCAAAAAAAATAAGAATGGTTCAACTCTATGAGATGAATGCATAAATCACAAATATGTTCCTCAGAAAGCTTCTGTCTACATTTTATATGAAGATATTTCCTTTTTCACCATAAGCCTCAAAGTGCTCACAAATATCCCTTTGCAGATTCTACAAGAAAAGAGTTTCCCATCTACTCAATGAAAAGAAACATTTACCTCTGTGAGATGAATGCACACATTACAAAGCAGTTTCTCAGAAACCTTCTGTAGAGTTTTTATGTGAAAATATTTCCTTTTTCCCCGTAGGACTCAAAGCGCTCACAATATCCCTTTGCTGATTCTACAAAAAGACTGTTTCCAAACTGCTCAATCAAAAGAATGGTTCAACTGTTTGAGAGGAATGCACACATAAAACAGAAGTTCTCAGAAAGCTTCTGTCTAGTATTCATGTGAAGATATTTCCTTTCTCACTATTGGCCTCCAAGTGTACAAAAATATCCCTTTGGAGATTCTACAAAAAGACTGTTTCCAATATGCTAAATCAATATAAAAGTTGAAGTCTGTGAGATGAATTCAAACATCACAGAGCACTTTCTCAGACACCATCTTTCTAGTTTTGCTGTGAAGATATTTACTTTTTCACCTCAGGCTTCAAAGTGCTCACAAATATCCTTTTGTAGATTCTACAACAAGACTTTTACCAAACTGCTCAATCAAAAGAATGGTTAAACTCTGTGAGGTGAATGCACATATCACAAAAAAGTTTCTCAGAAATCTTCTGTCTAGTTTTTATGTGAAGATCAGAGTGCAGTGGAATGAAACGGAATGGAACAGAATGGAAGGGAATGGAATTGAGTGGAGTGGAATGGAAAGGAGTAGAGTGGAGTGGTGACAATTGGAGTGGAGTGGAGTGGAGAGGAGTGCAACGGAATGGAGGGGATTTGAAAGGAATGGGATGGAATGGAGTGGAGTGGAGAGGAGTGGAGTCAAATGGAATAGAGTGGACTGGAATGGAGTGGAGTGGAAAGGAGTGGATTAAAGTGGAGTGGAGTAGAGTGAATTGGAGAGTGGAGTGGAGTGGAGTTGAATGGAGTGCAATGGAATGGAATGGAATGGAATAGAGTGGAAAGGAATGGAATAGAGTGGAATGGAATGGAGTGGAGTGGAGTGGAAAGGAATGGATTAGAGTGGAATGGACTGGAGTGGAGTGGAAAGGAATGGATTAGAGTGGAATAGACTGGAGTGGAGTGGAGTGAAGAAGAGTGGAAGGGAGTGGAATGGAGTGAAATGGAGTGGAGTGGAATGCAGTGGAGGGGAATGGAATGGAATGGAACGGAACTGAATGGAAAGGAATGGAAAGGAGTGGAATGGAGTGCACTGGAGTGCAGTGGAGTTGAGAGTAGTGTATCAGAATGCAGTGGAATAGAATGAAATGGAATGGAATGGAGTGGAGTGGATTGGAGTGGAGTGAAGAGGAGAGGAAAGGAGTGGAATGGCATGGATTAGAGTGGGATGGAATACAATGGAAAGGAATGGAATGCGACAGAATGGAACGGAATGGAGAACAGAAGAGTGGAGTTGAGTGGAGTGGATCAGAGTGCAGTCGAATGGAATGGAATGGAGTGGAGAGGAGTGGAGTGGAATGGAGTGGAGTGGAGTGGACTGGAATGGAATGGAATGGAGTGGAGTGTAATGTAAAGGACTGGAGTGGAATGAAATGGAGTGGAGCGGAGTGGAATGGAATGGAGTGGAGTGGAATGGCATGGAGAGGAGCAGAATGGAGTGGAGTGGAGTGGAATGGAGTGGAGTGGGGTGGAGTGCAGTTGAGTGGAGTGGAGTTGAGTGGAGTGGATCAGAGTGCAGTCGAATGGAATGGAATGGAGTGGAGAGGAGTGGAGTAGGGAGGAATTTAATGGAAAGGAGTGGATTGAAATGAAGTGGAGTGGAAAGGAATGGAATGGAAAGGAATGGAATGTAATGGAAAGGAGTGGAATGGAACGGAATGGAGTGGAGTGGAGTGCAGAGGAGTTGAGTTGAGTGGATGAGAGTGCAATGGAATGGAATGGAATGGAATGAAATGGAATAGAGTGGAGTGGAATGGAGTGGAGTGGAGTGGAATGGAATGGAATGGAACACAGTGGTGAAAGGAAATGAGAGCTAAGATTGTGTCACTGCACTACAGTCTGGGAGACAGAGTTACAGCCAATTGAAATAAAGGAATGGAATGGAATGGAGTAGAGTGGAATTGAATGGAGTGGAGTGGAATGGAACAGAAAGGAAAGGAGTGGAATGGAGTGGAGTGGACAGTAACAGAAAGGAGTGGAATGGAGTGGAGAGGAATGGAGTGGAAGTGAATGAAATGGAATGGAGTAGAAGGCAATGGAAATTAATGGAATGAATTGGAATGGAGTATAATGGAGTGGAGTGGGGTGGAATGGAGTGCATTGGAATGGAGTGGAATGCAACGGAATGGAATGCAGTGGAATGGAATGGAGTGCAGTTGAGTGGAATGGAATGGAGTGCAGTGGAGTGGAGTGCAGTGGAATGGAGTGGAATGTTGTGGAATGGAGTGGAGTGGAATGGAGTGGAGTGGAATGGAATGGAATGGTACAGAATGGAAGGGAACAGAATAGAATGGAGTGGAGGTTGAGTGGAGTGGAGTGGAGTTGAGTGGAGTGGACCGGAGTGCAGTGGAATGGAATGGAGTGGAGTGGAGTGGAGTGGAATGGAGTGGAATGGAGTATAATGGAGTGAAATGCAATGGAGTGCAGTGGAATGGAGTGGAATGGAATGGAATGGAATTGAATGGAATGGAATGGAACAGAAGGGAAAGGAGTTGAGTGGAGTAGTGTGGAGTTGAGTGGAGTGGATTGGATTGCAGTTCAATGGAATGGAATGGAATGGAAAGGAATGGAGTGGAGTAGAGTGGAATTGAATCAAATGGACTGAAAAGGAAAGGAATGGATTGAAATGCGGTGGAGTGGAATGAACTTGAATGGAATGTACTGGAACGGAATGGACTCGAAGGGAATGGACTCGAATCAAATGGAATCAAATGGAAAGCAATGGAATGGAATGGACTTGAATGGATTGGACAGGAATGGAATGGACTCGAATGGAATGGAATCGAATGGAATGGAATAGAATGAAATGGAATAGAATGGAATGGAGTGAAATGGAATGGACTCGGGAGGAATGGACTCGAATGGAATGGACTCGTGTGGAATGGACACGAGTCAAATGGACTAGAATGGAATGGACACGAGTGGAAAGGACTCGAATGCAATTGATGCGGGCCGAATGGACTCGAGCCGCATGGACTCCAATGGAATGGAATGGAATGGAAAGGAATGGAATGGACTCGAAGGGAATGGACTTGAATTGAACGGAATCATAGGGAAAGGAATGGAATGGAATGGAATGGACTTGAATGGATTGGACAGGAATGGAATGGACTCGAATGGAACGGAATTGAATGAAATGGGAAGGAATGGAATGGATAGAAATGGAATGGACTCGAGTGGAAGGGACTCGAGTGGAATAGACTCCAGTCAAATGGACTAGAATGGAATGGACACGAGTGGAATAAACTCCAATGCAGTGGATTCAGGTAGAATGGACTCCAGCCAAATGGACTCCAATGGAAAGGAATGGAATGGAATGGAATAAAATGGAATGGAGTGGAATGGAGTCGAATGGAATGGACAGGAATGGAATGGACTCGAATGGAATATAATGGAATATAATGGAATGGAACCAACTGGAATGGAATAGACTCCAATGTAATGGAATCGAATGGAAAGCAATGGAATGGAATGGAATGGAATGGAATGGAATGGAATGGAATCGAATGGAATCGAATGGATTGGACTCGAATGGAATGGGCCCGAATGGTATGGAATCGAATGGAAGGGGATCGAATGGAATGGAATCGAATGGAATGGAATCAAATGTAATGACCTGGAATGGAATGGACTCAAATGGAATGGACTCGAATGGAATGGACACTAATGGAATGGACTCGAAGGGAATGGAATCGAGTGGAATGGAATCGAATGGAATGGAATCGAATGCAATGCAATCGAATGGAATGGACTGCAATGGAATGGAGTGGAACGGAATGGACTTGAATGAAATGGATTGCAATGGAATGGACTCAAAATGAATGGAATCAAATAACATGGAATCGAGTGGAATGGAATGGTATGCAATGGAATGGAACAGAATGGTATCAAATGGAATGTAATCTTATGGAATGCAATAGAATGTAATGTAATCGAATGGAATGGAATCGAAAGAAATGCAGTCAAATGGAATGGAAACAAATGGAATGGAATAGAATAGAATAGAATGGAATCTAATGGAATGGAATGGAATGGAATGGAAAGGAATGGAATGGAATTGAATGAAATGGACTCCAATGGAATGGAACGGAATCAAATGGAATGGGTATGAATGGAATGGAATCGAATGGAATGGAATCAAGTGGAATGAAATCAAATGGAAACAAATGGATTCGAATGGAATGCGGTGAAGCAGAGTGCAGTGGAGTAGAATGGATTGGAATGCAGTGGGGTGAAATGAAATTGAATGGAATGGAGTGGAGTGGAATGGAGTGGAAAGTTATGGAATAGGAAAGAATAGAATTGAACCAAGTGGAGTGGAGTGGAGTGGATTCGAATGGAATGCAATGGAATGGGATGGAATGGAATGGAGTGTATTGGAATCAAATGCAGAGGAATGGAATGGAATGGAGTGGAATGGAATGGAATGGAATGGAATGTACTCGAGTGGAATACACTCAAATGGAATGGACTCGCATCTAATGGAATAGAATCTAATGGAATGAATTTGAATGGAATGGAATGGAAAGATATTGAATTGAATGGAAGGGAATGGAATCAAATGGTATGGACTGGAATGGAATGGACTCAAATGTAATTGACTGGAATGAAATGGACTCGTATGGAATGGATTTGAATGCAGCGGACTCGAAAAATATTGACTCCAAAGGAATGGAATCAATTGGAAGAGAATCGAATTGAAAGCAATTGAATGGAATGGAATCGAAAGGAAAGGAATAAAAAGGAATGGACTGGAATGGAATGGAATCGAATGGAATGGACTGAAATGGAATGGATACGAATGGAATGGAAAAGAACAGAATGGAATGGAATGGAATGGAAAAGAACGCAATGGAATGGAATGGAATCGAATGCAATGGAATGAAATGAAATGCAATGGAATGGATTGGACTCCAATGTAATGGCCTCGAATGGAAAACATTCAAATTGAATGGAATAAAATGGAATTGAATCAAATGGAATGGGATCGAAAGGAGTGGGATCGAATGGAGTGGGATCGAATGGAGTGGAATTGAATGGAATGGAATGGAGTAAAATGGAATGGAATGGAATACAATGGACTACAATGGAAAGGACTCAAATGGAATGGAAACAGAAGGAATTGAATTGAATGGAATGGAATCAAATGGAATGGGATCCAATGGAATGGAGTGGAGTGCAGTGGAATGGAGTGGAATGGAATGGGAAGGAAAGGAATAGAACGGATTTGAGTGGAACAGAGAGGAGTGGAGTAGAGTGGAGTGGAGTGGAATGGAATGTAGTGGAGTGGAGTGGATTGGAATGTAGTGGGGTGGAGTGGAATGGAGTGGAGTGGTTTGGAGTGGAATGGAATAGAAGGGGAAGGAATGGAATTGAACGGTGTGGATTGGATGGGAGTGGATTTGAATGGAATGCAATGGAATGGAATGGAATGGAGTGGAATGGACTGGAATGCAGTGGAATACAATGGGTATGGGGTAATGGAATGTAGTGGAGTGGAGTGGAATGGAATGGAATGGAATGGAATGGACTCGAGCGCAATAGACTTGAATGGAATGGACTCGAATGGAATGGAATGGAAAGCAGTGGAAAGATATCGAATGGAATGGAATGGAATGGAAAGGAATGGAATGGAATGCATTGGAATGCAATTGAATGGGATGGAATGGAACGGAACGGAATGGAATTGAATGGAATCGAATGGAATAGATTGGAATGGAATGGAATGGGGTGGAAACGAATGGAATGGAATGAAATCAAGTGGAATGGAATGCAATGGACTACAACGGAAAGGAGTAAAATGGAATGGATTCGAAAGGAATTGAATAGAATGGAATGGAATCGAATGGAATTGGATCGAATGGAATGGAATGGTCTCGAATGGAATGAAATCAAATGGAATGGATTCTAATAGAATGGAATCGATTGGAATGGAACCGAAAGGAATGGAATAGAATGGCATCGATTGGAACCGAATGGAATGCAGTGAAATGGAGGGCAGTGGTGTGGAATGGAGGGGAATGGAAAGGGGTGAAATGGAAGTGAATAGAGTGGAGTTGAGTTGAGTGTAAAGCAGTGCAATGGAATGGAATGTGAAGGAATGGAATTGAACATAGTGGAGTGGATTGGAGTGGAGTGGAATGGAATGCAATGGAGTGGAATGGAGTGTAGTGGAAGGTAATGGAGTTCAGAGCAGGGGAATGGAATGGACTGGAATGGAATGGAGTGGAATGGATGGACTCGAGTGGAATAGACTCGAATGGAATGAACTTGAGTTGAATGGACTCGAGTTGACTGGACTAGAATGGAATTGACTTCAGTGGAATGGACACGAATGGAATGGACCCGAATGGAATGGAATCAAATCAAATGGAACGGAATGGACTCGAATGGAATGGAATCGAGTGGAACAGACTCGAATTGACTGGAATTGAATGGAATGGACTCTAGTGGAATGAACTAGAATGGAATGGACTCGAAGCGAATGGACTCGAATAGAATGGAATCAAATGGAAAGGAGTGGAATGGAATGGAATGGGCTCAAATGGGTTGGACAGGAATGGAATGGACTCAAATGAAACGGAATCAAATGGAATGGAATCGAATGAAATGTAATGGAATTGAATGGAGTGAAATGGAATGGACTGGAGAGGAATGGACTTGAATTGAATGGACTCGAGTTGAATGGACTCGAGTCAAATGGACTAGAATGGAATGGACTCGAGTGGAGTGGACTCGAATGGAATGGACTTGGGTGGAATGGACTCAAGACACATGGATTCCAATGAAATGGAATGGAATGAAATGGAATGGAACGGAATGGAATGGACTTGAATGGAACAGACTGTAATGGAATGGAATCAAATGGAAAGGAATGGAATGGAATGGAATGTTCTCGAATGGATTGGATAGGAATGGAATGCACTCAAATGGAATGGAATGGAATGGAATGGAATGGAATGGAGTGAAATGGAATGTACTCGAGAGGAATGGACTCGAATGAAATGGACTCGGGTGGAATTGACTCAAGCCGCATGGACTCCAATGGAATGGAATGGAATGGAGTGGAATGGAATATACTCGAAAGGAATGGACTGGAATGGAATGGACTCGAAAGGAATGGAATGGAATGGAAGGGATTAGAATGGAATGGAATTGAATGGAATGGAATGGAATGGAATGGAATGGAATGGAATGGAATGGATTGGAATGGAATCAAATGGAAAGGAATGGACTCCAATGTAATGGAATCCAATGAAACGGAATCAAATGGAATGGAATCGAATGTAATGTAATGCAATGTAATGTAATGTAATGGAATCAAATGGATTGGACTCAAATGGAATGGGCTCTAACAGTGTGGAATCAAAAGGAAGGGGATCGAATGGATTGGAAGCAAATGGGATGGAATCGAATGAAATGGTCTGGAATGGAATGGACTCGAATGGAATGGACTTGAATGGAATGTACACTAATCGAATGTACTCGAAAGGAATGGATGCAAAGGGAATGGAATCGAGTGGAATGGAATCGAATGAAAAGCAATCGAATGGAAGGGACGGGAATGGAATGGAGTGGAATCGAATGGACTTGAATGGAATGGATTGCAATGGAACGGACTCAAAATGAATGGAATCGAATGAAATGGAATGGAATGGAATGGAATGGAATGGAATGGAATGGAACGGAATGGAATGGTATCAAATAGAATGCAATCGAATGGAATGCAATAGAAGGGAATGGAATCGAATGTAAAGGAATCGAATGAAATGCAGACGAAAGGAATGGAATCAAATGAAAGGAATCAAATAGAAGAGAATCGAATGTAATGGAATCTAATGGAATGGAATGCAAGGCAATGGAAAGGAAAGAAATGGAACTGAATGGAATGGAATGGAATGGAAAGGAATGGAATGGAAAAGAATGAAATGGACTGGAATGGAAGGGAATGGAATGGAATGGAATGGAATGGAAGGGAATGGAATGGAATGGACACAAATGGAATGGAATTGAATGGAATGCAATAGAATAGAAAGAAATAGGAATGCAATCCAATGGAATGGAATCCAATGGAAAGGAATTGAATGGAATCAACTGGAATGTGGTGAAGTGGAGAACAGAGGGGTGGAATGGAATTGAATGCAGTGGAGTGCACTGGTTTTGAATGGAGTGGAATGGAAAGAGAAGAAATATAATTGAATGGAGTTGAGTGGAGTGGAGAGGAATTGAAAAGCAATGGAATGGAATAGAATGGAATTGATTAAAACCGAGTGGAATGGAACAGAATGGAATGGAATGGAATGGAATGGAATGGAATGGAATGGAATGGAATGGAAACGAATGGCATCGAATAAAATGTGGTGAAGTGGAGTAGAGAGGAGTGGAATGGACGGGAATGGAATGGTGTGGAATGGAATTGAATGGAGTGGAGTGGATTGGAGTGGAATGGAGTAGAGTGGAATGATAATGAATGGAATTTAACGGAGTGCAGAGGAGTGGAGAGGAATGGAGTGGAATGGAATGGAATGGGAAGGAATGTAATTGAACGGAAAGTAGTGGAGTGGATGGGAAAGCAGTGGAATGGAATGGAATGGAGTGGAGTGGAATGGAATAGAATGGAATGGAATGGAATGGAGTTGAATGGACTGGAATAGAATGGAATGGAGTAGAGCAGAATTTATTGGAATGGAATGGAATGAAATCGAATAGAATGAAGTGGCACAAAATGGAGTGGAGTGAAGGGAAATGGAATGGAATGGAGTGGAATGGAATGGAATGGATTGTAATGGAATGGAATGGATTTTAATGGAATGGATTGGAATGGACTGGACTCGAATGGAATGGAATAGAATGGAATGGAATCCAAAGGAATGGTATTGAAAGGAATGGAAACGAATGGAATGGAATGGAATGGAATAGAATGGAATGGAAAGGAATTAACTCGAAAAGATTTGAAGGCAATGGAATTAAAAGGAATGGAATAGAATAGAAAGGAATGGAGTAGAATGGAATGGAACGAAATGGAATGGAATGCAATGGAGTGGAATGGAAAAGAATGGAATGGAATCAAACAGCATTGAATGGATTGCGGTTAAGTGGAGTGGAGAGGACTGGAATGGAGTGGAATGGAATGGAGTGGAATGGAATAGAATGGGCTGGAGTGTATTGCATTGGAAAGGAGTGGAATGGAATGGGAAGGAATGGAATTGAGCAGAGTGAATAGGAGTGTAGTGGAATGCAGTGGAATGGAATGGAAGGAATAGAAGGGAATGGAATGGAAGGGAATGGACTCGAATGGAATGGAATAGAATGCAATAGAATTGAATGGAATTGATTGGAAACGAATGGAAACGAAACGAATGGAATGGAATTGAATGGAATGGAAACAAATAGAGTGGAAAGGAATGGAATGGAATGGTCTCGAATAGAGTGAAATGGAATGGAATTGAGTGCAATGGAATCAAAAGGAATGGAATGGAATCAAATGAAATGGAATGGAATCAAATGCAATGGAATGGAAGGGAATGGATTGGAATGGAACGGAATGGGATGGAACTGAATGGAATGGAAGGGAAATGAATGGAATGGAATCTAATGGAATGGAATCAAATGAAATGGAATGCAATCGAATGCAATAGAATCGAAAGGAATGGAAAGGAATGGAACGGAATGGAATGGAAATGAATGGAATGGAATGGAATCGAATGGAATGGAACTGAGTGGCATCAAATGGAATGCGGTGAACTGGAGTGGAGAGGAGTGGAATTGAGTGGAATGGAATGGAGTGGAATGGAATAGAATGGAGTGGAGTGGATTGGATTGGAACAGAGTGGAATGGAATGGGAAGGAATGGAATTGAAAAGAGTGGAGTGGAGTGGAGTGGAATGCAGTGCAATGGAATGGAATGGAATGGAATGGAATGGAATGGAATGGAAATGACACGAATGGAATTGAAAGGAATGGAATGGAATGGAATAGTATCGAATGGAATCGAATGGAATTGAATGCAATGGACTCGAAAGGAATGGAATCAAATGGAATGGAAAGGAATGGAATGGAGTGGAATGGACTCGAATGGAGTAGAATGGAGTACAACGGAATCAAATGGAATGGAGTGGATTCGAATGGAAAGGAATCAAATGACATAGAATGGAATTGAATGCAAGGAATCAAATGGAACACAATCAAATGGAATGGAACCGAAAGGAATGGAATCAAATGGTATCGAATGAAATAAAATGGAATGGAATCAAATGGCATCGAAAGGATTCGAATGGAATGTGGTGAAGTTCAGTGGAGTGGTGTGCAATGGAAAGAATTGGAATGCAATTGAATGGAGTGGAGAGGAGTGGAGAGGAATGGAGTGGAATTGAATGTAACGGGAAGGAATGGAATTGAATGGAGTGGAGTGGATTGGAAAGAAATGGAATAGAATGGAATGGAGTGAAAAGGAATGGAGTGGAGTGGAGTTGAGTGGAGAGGAATGGAATAGAATGGAATGGAGTGGAATAGATTGAAACGGAGTGGAATGGAGTGGAGTGGAATGGAATGGAATTGAGTGGAATTGAATGGAATAGAATGGAATGGAATCGAATGGAATGGAGTGGCGTTAAGGGGAGTGAATTGGAGTGAAGGGTTATGGAACGGAATGGAATGGAATGGAATGGAATGGAATGGAATGGAACGAAATGTATTGGAATGGAATGGACTGGACTCGAATGGAATGGAATTCAATGGAAGGGAATCCAAAGGAATGGAATCAATGAATGGAATGGAATGGAATGGAATGCAATGGAATGGAATGGAATGGAATGGAATGGAATGGAAAGGAATTGAATGCAAAGGAATGAAGTGGAACGGAATAAAATGGAATGGAATGGAATAGAATGGAATAGTATCGAATGGAATGGAATGGCAAGGAATCAAAAGGAATGGAATGCAATCAACTGAATTGGAATGGAATAGAATGGAATGGAATGGGATAGAATGGAATGGAATGGAATGGAATGGAATGGAATGGAATGGAAGGGAATGTAATTGAATGGATTAGAACGGAATTGAATTGAATGTAATCAAATGGCATGGAATGGATTGCGGTGAATCGGAGTGGAGAGGAGTGGAATGGAGTGGAATGGAGTGGATTGGAATAGAATGGAGTGGAGTGGATTGGAATAGAATGGAGTGGAGTGGATTGGATTAGAATGGAGTGGAATGGAATGGGAAGGAATGGAGTAAAGCAGAGTGGAGTGGAGTTAGTGGAATGCAGTGGAATGGAATGGAATGGAAAGGAATGGAATGGACTGGAATCGAATGAAATGGAATGGAATGGAATGGAACAGAAGGGAATGAAATCGAAAGGAAAGGATTCGAAAGGAATGGATTCGAATGGAATGGAATCGAATTTAATGAAATTGAACGGAATGGACTGGAATGGAATGGAATCGAATGGAATGCTGTGAAGTGGAGTGGAGTGGAATGGAGTGGAATGGAATGGGCTGGAATGGAATAGAATGGAGTGGAGTGGAGGGAAATTGATTGGAATGGAAAGGAATGGGAAGGAAAGGAATTGAATGGAATGGAATGCAATGTATTTGAGTGCAATGCATTGGATTTGATTGGAATGGAGTTGAGTGGAGGGGAGACGAGTGGAGTGGAGTGGAATGAAATGGATTGGAATGGAATTGAATCAAATGGAATGGACTGGAATGGATTGGATTCCAGTGGAATGGCTGGAATGGATTGGACTCAAAAGGAATGGACTCAAATGGAATTGAGTCAAATATAACGGAATGGAATGCAATGGAACGGAATGGAATGGAATGGAATCAAATGCCAAGGAATCAAATGCAATGGAATCGAATGGAACGGAATCAAATAGAATGGGATTGAATGGAATGGAATCGAATGGAATGGATTCGAATTGAATGGATTCGAAAAGCATCTAATGGATTTGAAAACAATGTGGTGAAGTGGAGAGGAGTGGAATGAAGTGGAATGGAATGGGGTGGAATTTAATTGAATGGAGTGGAGTGGAGTCAGGTGAAATGGATTGGAAAGGAATTGAATGGGAAGGAATGGAATTGAACGGAGGGGAGTGGACTGGACTGGAATGCAATGGAATGGAATGGAATGTATTACAGTGGAATGAAATGGAATGAATGGAAATGGAATTGAATGGAGAGGAGTGGAGTGGAATGGAATGTAATAGAATGGAATGGAATGAATTGGAATGGAATGTAGTGGAGTAGAATGGAGTGGATTGGAATGAAATGGAATGGAGTGGAATAGAATGGAATGGGGTGGAGTGGAGAGGAGTGGAGTGGATTGCAGTGCGATGGAACACAATGGAAAGGAATGGAATTGAATAGAATGGAATGGAATGAATTGGATTGGAATGTAGTGGAGTGGAATGGAGTGGAGTGGAATGAAATGGAGTGGAGTGGAATAGAATAGAATGGAGTGGAGTGCAGTGGAGTGGATTGCAGTGGGATGGAATAGAATGGAATGGAATGGACTGGAGCAGAATGTAGTGTAATGGAGTGGAGTGGAATGGAGTGGAGTGGAGTGGAGTGGAATGGAATGAAATGGAATGGACGCGAGTGGAATGGACTCGAATGTAATGGACCCAAACTGAATGGACCTGAATGCAGTAGACTGGAATGGAATGGCCTCGAATGCAATGGAATCTAACGGAATGGAATTCAAAGGAATGAAATTGAATGGAATGGAATCAAATGGAATGGAACTGAATGGAATCGAATGACATCAAATGGAATTGAATGGGATGCCGTGAAGTAGAGTGGAGTGGAGTGGAATGGTGTGGAATGGAATAGGGTGGACTGGAATTCAATGGAGTGGAGTGCAGTGGAATCTAACGGAATGTGATAAAATGGAATTTAAAGGAATGGAATTGAACAGAGTGGAGTGGAAAGCAATGGAATGGAATGGAGTGGAGTGGAGTGAAGTGGAGTGGAGTGGAGTGCAGTGGAGTGGATTTGAGTGGAATAGAGTGGAATGTAGAGGAATCGAGGGGAGTGGATTTGTTTGGAGTTGAGTTGAATGGAATGGAAAGGAATGGAGTGGAGTCGAGTGGAGTGGAATGGTATGGAATGGAGTGGAATGGAATGGAATGGATTGGAATAGATTTGAATGGAATGCAATGGAATGGAATGGAATGCATTGGAATGGATTTGAACGGAGTGGAGTGGAGTGCAATGCAATGGAATGGAATGGAGTATAGTGGAATGGAATATGAAGGAATGGAATGCAATGGACTCGAGTAAAATGGACTGGACTGGAATGGACTGGGAGGGAATGGAGAGGAATGGAATGGACTCGAATGAAAAGCACCCAAATGGTGTGGAATCGAGTGGAAGGGAATCAAATTGAATGGAATACACTGGAATGGAATCAAAAGGAATTGAATCGAATGGAATGGAATTGAATAGAATGGAATCGACTGGAATGAAATGGAATGTAAAGGAATAGAATGGCATCGTATTGAATCTAACAGAATGCGGTTAAGTGGAGTGGAGTGAAATGGAGTGGAATTGAATGATGTGGAACTCAATTGTATGAAGTGCGATGGAGTGGAATGGAATGGAATGGGAAGGAATGGAATTGAGTGGAGTGGAGTGGAGTGGATTGTAATGCAATGGAATGGAATGGAATGGAATAGAGTGAAGTGGAATGGAGTGGAGTGGAGAGGAGTGGAGTGTAAAGGAAAGTACCGAATGGAGTGGAATGGAATGGAGAGGAATGGAATGGAATGGAGTCGACAGGAGGGCAATGGAATGTAATGGAATAGAAAGGAATGGAATGTAGTGGAGTGCAGTTGAGTGGAATGGAGGGGAATGGAATGGAATGGAATGGAATGGAATGGAATGGAATGGAATGGACTCAAAGGGAATGTACTTGAATGGAATGGAATAGTTTGGAAAGGAATCCAATGGAATGGAATGGAATGGAACGGACTCGAATTGAATGGAATGGAATGGAATGGAAAGGAATGGAATGGAACGGAATGGAATGGAATGGAATGGAACGGAATGGAATGGAATGGAATGGAACGGGATTGAATGGAATGGAATGGAATCAAATGAAATAGAATGAATTGGAATGGAATTGAATGGAAAGGAATTGAATGGCATCGACTGGAATGCTGTGAAGTGGAGTAGAGAGAAGTGGAATGCAGTGGAATGGAATAGAGTGGAATGGAATTGAATGGAATGGAGTGGATTGGAGAAGAATAGAGTGGAATGGAATGAGAAAGAATGGAATTGAATGGAGTGGAGTGGAGCAGAGCAGAGTGGAATGGAATGCAATAGAATGGAATGGAATGGAATGGAATGGAATGGAATGGAAAAGTGGAATGGAGTGGAATGCAGTGGAATAGAATGGAGTGGAGTGGAATGGAATGGAGTGAAGTGGAAAGGAATGGAAAGGAGTGAAGTGGAGAGGAATGGAAAGGAAGGAAAGGAAAGGGAAGAGAATGGAAAAGAATATAATGGACTCCGACAGAATAGACTCAAACGGAATAGACTGGAATAGATTGGACTGGAATGGAATGGACTCGAATGGAATGGACTCAAATGGAATGGACTGGAGTGAAATGGATTGGAATAGAATGGGCTCGAATGGAATTGACTGGAGTGGAATAGTCCCGAATGGAATGGACTCAAAAGGAATGGACTGCAATGGAATGGACTGGAATTGAAACGAATTGAATGGAATGTCCTCGAATGTAATGGAATCGAATGGAAATGAATCGACGGGAATGGAATAGAATGGAATGGAATCAAATGGAGAGGAATAAAGTGGAAGGCAATCGAAAGGAATGGAATTGAATGGCAATGAATGGAATCAAATGGAATGTGATGAACTGGAGTGGAATGGATTGTCATGGAGTGTAATGGAATTGGGTGGAAATAAATTGAATGGAATGTAGTGGAGTGGAGAAGAATGGAGTGGAATGGAATGGAATGAGAAGTAATGGAATTGAATGGAGTGGAGTGGAGAGGAGTGGACTGGAATGGACTGGAATGGACTGGACTGGAATGGAATGGAAAGAATGGAATTTAATTTAATGGACTCGAAAGGAATGGACTCGAATGGAATGCAATCGAGTGAAATATAATCGAAAGGAATGGACCCGAATGGAATAAAATCAAATCGAAAGGAATGAAATCGAATGGAATGGAATCTAATCGAATGGAGTGGAATCAAAAGGTTTGGAATCGATTAGAATGGAATCGAATGGAAACGACTGTAATCGAATGGTATGCATTGAAATGGAGTGCAGTGGAATGGAATGGAGTGGAAAGGAATGGGGAGGAATGGATTTCAATGGAGTGTAGTGGAGTGGAGTGGAAAGGAATAGAACGGAATTGAATGGAATGGAGTTGAATACAATGGAATGGAATGGAATAAAGTGGATCAGAGTGGCTTGGAGTGGAATGGAATCGAATAGAATGGAACGGAAAGGATTGGAATGGAGTGGACTGGAGTGCAAATGAATGGAATGGAATCGAATGGAATTTAATCGAAAGGCATCGAATGGAAAGCAGTGGAGAAGAGAGGAGTGAAATGGAGGGGAATGGAAAGGGGTGGAATGGAAGTGAGTGGAACGGAATGGAGTGGAATGGAGTGGAATGGAATGAGAAGGAATGGAATTGAACGGAATGGAGTGCAGTAGAGGGGAGTGGAAATGAAATGCAATGGCATGGAATGGAATGAAATGGAAATGAATGGAATGAATGGAATAGAATTGAATGGAATGGAATGGAATGGAATGGAATCGAGTGGAATGAAATCGAAAGGCATTCAATGCAATCAAATGGAATGCAATGAAGTGGAGTAGAGTGGATTGAAATGGAGTGGAATGGAATGGGGTGGAATGGCATTTAATGGAGGGTAGTGGAGTGGAGGGAAATAGATTGGAAAGAGATGGAATGGGAAGTAACGGAATTCAACGGAGTGGAGTGGAGTGGATTAGAATAGACTGGAATCGAATGGACTGGAAAGGAACGGAAAGGAAAGAATGGAATTTTATGGAATGGACTCGAATGGAATTGAATCAAAAGGTATGGAATCAAATGGAATGGAATCGAATGTAATGGACGCGAATGGAATGTAATCGAATGGAATGGAATGGAACGGAATGGAATGGAATGGAACGGAATGGAACGGAATGGAAAGGAATGGAATGGAGTCGAATAGAATGGAAGGGAATGGAGTGTAAAGGAATGGACTCGAATTTAATGGACTAGAATGCAATGGACTCGAATGGAATAGAATCAAATGGGATGGCATTAAATGGAATGGAATGGGATGGACCCAAATGTAACGGACTCGAATGGAATGGACTCAAATAGAACGGACTCGAAACCAATGGTCTCGAATGGAATTTATTCGAATAGAATGGTAAAGAATGGAATGGAATCGGAGGGAATGAAATCGAATGGAATGGAATCGAATGGAATGGACAGGAACGGAATGGACTGGAATAGAACAGAGTCAAATGTAATGGACTGCAATGTAATTCATTTGAATGGAATGGAATCGAATGGAATGTAATCAAATGGAATGGAATGGAATGCAATGGAATGGAATAGAATGGAATGCAGTGGAATGGAATAGAACGGAATACAATGGAATTGAATGGAGTGGAATCGAGTGGAATGCAATCGAATCGATTGGAATCGAATGGAATGGACTCGAATGGAATGGACTGTAATGGAATGGACTCAAATGGAATGAACTGGAGTGGAATGGAGAAGATTGGAATGGATTGGAAAGGAATGGAATGGAATGCAAAGGAATAAAATGGAATGGAATCAGATAGAACGGAATGGAATGGAATGGAGTCAATTTGAATGGCATTGAATGGAATGGAATGGAATGAAATGAAACAGAATGGAATGGAAAAGAATGGAATGGAAGGGAATGGAATGGAAAGGAATAGAATGGAATGCAATCGGATGGAACGGAATGGAATGGAATGGAGTCGATTGGAATAGAATCGAATGGAGTGGCATCGAATGGAATTGAATGGAATGCAATGGAACGTACTCGAATGGAATGTACTGGAATGGAGCGGAAACAAATGGAATGGACTGGAGTGGAATGGACAGGAATGGAATGGAAATGAATGTAATGGAAGAAAATGGAATGGAAAGGAATAGAATGGAATGGAATCGGATGGAACGGAATGGAATGGAATGGAGTCGAATGGAATAAATTTGAATGCAATGGCTTCGAATGGAATGGAATGGAATGGACTTGAATGCAATGGACTGGAATGGAATGGACTCGAAAGGAATGGACTGGAGTGGAATGGATTGAAATGGCATGGAAACGAATGGAATGGAATGGAATGGAATGGAATGGAATGGAATAGAATGGAATGGAATCAGATTGAACGGAATGGAATGGTATCAACTCGAATGAAATAGAATCGAATGGAATTTCAATGAATGGAATGGAATGGACTCGATTGGAATGGACTCGAATGGAATAGAAACAAATGTAATGGGATCGAATGGAATGGAATGGAACAGAATGGAATGGACCCAAAAGTAATGGACTTGAATGGGCTCAAATTGAATGGACTCGAAATAAATGGTCTCGAATGTAATTTATATGATAGAATGGAATTGAATGGAATGCAATAGTATGGATTGGAATCGAATGGAATGGAATTGAACAGAATCGAAAGGAATAGAAAGGAATGGAGTGCAATGGAAAGATATCAAATGGAAAGGAATGGAGAGGAATGGACTCGAATGGAATGGACTGGAACGCAATGGACTCAAATGGAATGGACTGGAGTGGAATGGACTCAATTGGAATTTAAACGAATAGAATGGAATGGAATGGAAAGGACTAAAATGGAATGGAATCGGATGGAAAGGAATGGAATGGAATGGAGTTCAATGCAATAAAATCGAATGCAATGGCTTCGAATGGAATGGAATGGAATGGACTCGAATGCAATGTACTGGAACTAAATGGAATCAAACGGATTGGTATGGAAAGGAACAGAATGCATTGGAATGGAATGAAATGGACTCGAATGGAATGGAGTCGAATGGATTGGAATCGAAGTGAAGGGAATCGAATAGAGTTGAATTGAATGGAATCGAATGAAATAGAATGGAATGGAGTGTAATTGAAAGACATTGAAGGGAATGGAATGGAATGGACTCGAAAGGCATGGACTGGAATGGAAGGGACACGAATGGAATGGACTGGAGTGGAATGGATTCGCATGGATTGGAAAAGAATGGAATGGAATGGAATGGAAAGGAACGGAATAGAATGGAATGTAATCGGATGGAACCAAATGGAATGAAATCAACTCGAATGGAATATAATCGAATGGAATTTCATCAAATGGAATGGATTGGACTTGATTGGAATGGACTCGAATGGAATAGAAAAAAAATGGTTTGGGATCGAATGGAATGGAATGGAATGGAATGGTATGGACCCAAATGTAGTGGAATCGAATGGAATGGGCTCAAATATAATGGACTCGAAAGAAATGGTCTCGAATGTAATTTATACGAATGGAATGGAATTGAATGGAATGCAATAGTATGGAATCGAACCGAATGGAATGGAATTGAATGGAATCGAAAGGAAGAGAATGGAATGGAGTGCAATGGAAAGATATTGAATGGAAAGTAATGGAATGGAAAGGACTGTAATGGAATTCACGCGAATGGAATGGACTGGAGAGGAATGGGCTCGAATGGAATGGAGACGAATGGAATGTCATGGAATGGAAAGGAAGGGAATGAAATATAAAGGAATAGAATGGAATGGAATCGGATGGAATGATATGGAATGGAATGGAGTTGAATGGAATAGAATCCAATGGAATGGCTTCGAATGGAATGGAATTGAAAGGAATGGACTGGAATGGAAAGGATTCAAATGGAATGGACTGGAACAAAATGGAATTGAACGGATTGGAATCAAACTGAAAGGAATTGAATGGAATGGAATGGACTCGATTGGAAGGGAGTCGAAGGGAATGGAATCGAATGGAATGTACTGGAGTTGAATGAACGCAAATGGAATGGAAACCAATGGAATGGAATGGAATGCAACGCAATGGAAGGGAACGGAATGAAAAGGAATAGAAAGGAATGGAATCGGATGGAAAGTAATGGAATGGAATGGAGTCAAATGGAATAGAATAGAATGATATGGCATCCAATGGAATGGAATGGAATGGAGTCAAATGGAATAGTATAGAATAGTATGGCATCAAATGGAATGGAATGGAATGAACTCGAATGGAGTGGACTCAATGGAATAGAATGGAATGGAAGGGCATGGAATGGAATGGAATGGAATGGAATGGAATGGAATAGTGTGGAATGGACCCAAATATAATGGACTCGTATGGAATGGACTCAAATAGAATGGACCCAAAAGGAATGGACTCGAATGCAATTTATTCAAAAGAATGGAATCGAATGGAATGCAATAGTATGGAATAGAATCAAATGGAATGGAATCGAATGGAATGGACTGGAATGGACTGGACTGGCACATAATGGAATTGAACGCATTGGAATTGAGCAGAACGGAATGGAATGGACTGGAATGGAATGGTCTTGAATTTAATGGACTGGAGTGGAATGGTCTCGAATGTAATGAACACGAATGGAATGGAATGAAATGGAATGGAATGGAATGGAAGCGGAAGGGATGGAACACAATGGAATGAAATGGTCTCTAATGGAATGGACTTGAATGGAATGGAATGGAATGAAATGGCATCGAATGGAATGGAATGTAAGGGAGTGTAATGGAAAGATATCAAATAGAATGGTATGGACTTCAATGGAATGGACTGGATTGCAGTTTACTCAAATGGAATGGACTGGAGTGGAATGGACACGAATGTAATGGAAACGAGTGGAATGGAATGGAATGGAATCGGGTGGAATGGAATGGAATGGAATCGGATGGAATGGAATGAAATGGAATGGAATCGGTTGAAATGGAATGAAATGGAATGGAGTTGAACGGAATAGAATCCAAAGGAATTGCTTCGAATGGAATGGAATGGAATGAAATGGAATGGAATGGAATGAAATGGAATGGAATGGAATGAAATGGAATGGAATGGAATGAAATGGAATGGAATGAAATGGAATGGAATGGAATGAAATGGAATGGAATGGAATGAAATGGAATGGAATTGAATGGAATGGAATTGAATGGAATGGAATGAAGTCGAATGGAATGGACTCGAATGGATTAGAATCAAATGGAATGGCATCTAATGGAATGGAATGGAATGGAACGGAATGGAACCAAATGTAACGTACTCAAATGGAATGGACTCAAAAGGAATGAACTCAAAAGGAATGGTCTCGAATGGAATTTATTCGAATAGAATGGAATCGAATGGAATGCAATAGTATGGAATGGATTCTAATGGAATAGAATCAAATGTAATGGACAGGAATGGAATGGACAGGAATAGAATGGAATCATACGTAATGGTTTGTAATGTAATTGATTTGAATGGAATGGAATCGAATGGAATGTGATCAAACGGAGTGGAATGGAATGCATTGGAATGGAATAGAAAGTAATGCAGTGGAATGGATTGGACTGGAATCGAATGGAATGGAATTCAACGGAATGGAATAGAAAGGAATGGAATCGATTGGAATGGATTGGAATGTAATGGACTCGAATGGATTGGACTGGAAGAAAGTGGAATTGAATAGATTGGAATAGAATGGAACAGAATGGAATTGAATGGAATGGACTCGAATGAAATGGAGTCAAATGGAATGGAATGGAATGGTATGGAATGGAATGGAAAAGAATGGAATTTAATAGAATCCAAAGGAATAGAATGGAATGGTTTTAATGGAAAGAAATCGAATGGAAAGGAGTCAAATGGAATGTAGTGGAATTGAATGGACTCTAATGGAATGGAGTGGAGTGGAAATGACGCGAATGGAAATGAAACGAATGAAATGGATCGCAATGAATGGAATGGAATCGAGCAGATTGGATTGGAATGGAAAGGAATAGAATGGATTGGAATCGGATGGAACGTAATGGAATGGAGTGGAATGGAATAGAATCGAATCGAATGGCAACGAATGGAATGGACTGGAAAGGAATGGACTCGAATGGAATAGAATCGAATGGAATGGCATCAAATGGAATGGAAAGGAATGGAATGCAATTGACCCAAATGTAATGGACTCGAATGGAAGGGACTAAAAAAAATGGACTTGAAAGAATTGGCTTCGAATGGAATTTATTCAAATAGAATAGAGTCGAATGTAATGGAACAGTATGGAAGGGAATGGAATGGAATGGAATCAAAAGGAATGGAACAGAATGGAATGGAATGGAATGGAATAGAACGGACTCGAATGTATTGGACTGAAATGTAATTGATTTGAAGGGAATAGAATCGAATCGAATGTAATCAAATGGAATGGAATGAAATAGAATGGAATGCAATGGAATGGAATGGAGTGGAATCAAATGGAATGGAATCAAATGGAATGTAATCGAGTGGAATGGAACCGATTGGAATGGCCTGGAATGGAATGGACTCGAATGGAATGGACCGGAAAAAAAGGAATTGAACGGATTGGAATCGAACAGAACGAAATTTAATGGAATGGATTGGAATGGAATCGAATGGAATGGAGTTGAATGAAATGCAATAGAATGGTGTAGAGTTGAATGGAATCGAAAGGAATACAATGGAATGGAATGGAATGGAAAGGAAATATATCAAATGGAATGGAATGTAATGAAATGGACTCTAATGGAATGGACTCTAATGGTATGGACTGGAATGTAATGTCCTGGAGTGGAATGGAATCGAATGGAATGGAAATATGGAATGGAATGGAATGGAATGAATGGAATGGAATGGAAAGGAATAGAATGGAATGGAATCGGGTGGAATGGAATGTAATCGGATGGAATGGAATGTAATGGAATGGAGTCGAATGGAATAGAATTGAATGCAATGGAATTGAATGGAATGGAGTGGAATGGAATGGAATGGACTCGAACGGAATGGACTCAAGTGGAATAGAATGGAATGGAATGGCATCGAAGTGAATGGAATGGAAACAAATGGAATGGACCCCATTGCAATGGACTCGAATTGAAGGGACTGAAATAGAATGGATTGGAAGGGAATGGTCTTGAATGGAATTTATTCGAATAGCATGGATTTGAAAGGAATGAAATAGTATGGAATAGAATCCAATGGAATGGAATGGAATGGAATGGAATGAACTGGAATACAACACACTCGAATGTAATGGATTGCAATGTAATTGACTCAAATGAAATGGAATTGAATTTAATGTAGTCAAATGGAATGGAAAGGAATGCAAGGGAATGGAACAGAATGGAATGCAATAGAATGGAATGGAGTGGAATCGAGAGGAATGGAAACGAATGGAATGGAATTGAATGGAATTGATTCGAATGGAATGGACTCAAGAGGAATTGTCTTGAATGGAATTTATTCGAAGAGAATGGAATCAAATTGAATGCAATAGTATGGAATGGAATCGAATGGAATGGACAGGAATGGAATGGACTGGAATGGAACAGACTACAATTTAAGGCATTGAAAAGTAATTGATTTGAATGGAATGCAATCGAATGGATTGTAATCTCATGGAACGGAATGGAATGGAATGGAATGGATTCGAAAGGAATGGACACCTATGGAACATAATTGTATGGAATGGCATCGAATGGAATGGAATGGAATGAAATGGATCCGAATGGAATGGAATGGATTGGGATGGAATGAAATGGATCCAAATGTAATGGACTCGAATGGAATGGACTCAAGTAGAATGGACTCTAAAGGAATGGCCTCGAATGGAATTTATTCGAAAACTTTGGGACCAAATGGAATGCAATAGTATGGAATGGAATGCAATGGAATGGAATCGAATGGAATGTACTGGAATAGAACGGACTCGAATGTAATGGATTGCAAAGTAATTGACTCGAATGGAATGAAATCGAATTTAATGTAACCAAAAGGAATGGAATGGTATAGAATGGAATGCAATGTAATGGAACGGAGAAGAATCAATTGGAATGGAATGGAATCGAATGGACTGGAATCGAATGGAATGGACTGGAATTGAATGGACTTGAACGGAATATACTGGAACAAAATGGAATCGAACGGATTGCAATCAAATTGAACGAAATGGAATGTAATGGTCTCAAACGGAATGGAGTCGAATGGAATGGAATCGAATGGAATGGAATTACATGGAATGGAATTGAACGGAATAAAAAGAATAGAATGGAAAGGATTGTAATGGAAAGATATCGAATGGAATGGCATGGAATGGAATGGACTTGAATGGAATGGACTGGAATGGAATGGATTCAAATGGAATGGACTGGAGTGTAATGGAGTCGAATGGAATGGACTGGATTGGAACGGACTCAAATGGAATGGACACGAATGGAATGGAGTGGAATGGAAAGGAATAGAATGAAATAGAATCGGATGGAATGGAATGGAATGGAATGGAGTCGAATGGAATAGAAATGAATGGAATGGCAACGTATGGAATGGAAAGGAATGGAAGGGAATGGAATGGAACCAAATGTAATGGACTGGAATGGAATAGACTCAAACAGAATGGACTCGAAAGGAACGGTCTCTAATGGAATTTATTCGAATAGAATGAATCGAATGAAATGGAAACAAATGGAATGGAATGGAATGGAAAGGAATAGAATGGAATGGAAATGGATGGAACAGAATGGAATGGAAACGGATGGAACAGAATGGAATGGAATGGATTCAAATGGAAAAGAATCAAACGGAATGACATCGAATGGAATGGAATGGAATGGGCTCTAAAGAAATCGACTCGAATGGAATAGAATAGAATGGAATGGTACTCAATGGAATGGAATAGAACGGAATGCAATAAAATGTAACGGAGTGGAATCGAGTGGAATGGAATCGAATGGAATGTAATCAAAGGAATGGAATTTAATGGAATGGAATAGAATGGAATAGAATGGACTCGAATGGAAAGGAGTCGAAAGGAATGGAATCGAAAGGAAGGTGTTCTATTGGAATGGAATTGATTAGAATCAAAATTAATAGAATGGAATGGAGTGTAATGGAAAGATGTCGAATGGAATGGAATGGATTGGATTCGAGTGGAATGGACTGGAATGTAATGGACTCGAAAGGAATGAACTGGAGTGGAATGGAGTCTAATAGAATGGAAACGAATGGAATGCACTGGAATGGAATGGAATGCAAAGAAATGGAATAGAAGGCAACGCAATGGAATGGAACAGAGTGGAGTCGAGTGGCATGGAATCGAATGGAATGGAATCTAATGGAATGGACTCGAATGGAATGGACTCGAATGGAATGGACAGGAACAAAATGGAATCAAACGCATTGGCAACGAACGGAACGGAATGCAATGAAATGGAAAGAAATGGAGTCAAAAGGAATGGAGTAGAATGGAATGGAATCGAATGTAACGGAATCAAATGGAATGGAATTGATTGGAAACGAAAGAAACAGAATTAAATGGAGTGAAACGGAAAAATGTCTAATGGAATTAAATGGAATTGACTCGAATGGAATGCACTGGAATGGAATGGACTCGAATGGAATGGACTGGAGTGGAATGGACACGAACGGAATGGAATGTAATACATTGGAATGGAATGGAAAGGAATAGAATGGAATGGAATTTCATGGAATGGAAAGAAAGGGAATGGAGTCGAATGGAATAGAATCGAATGGAATGCAATGGAATGGATTCGAATGAAATGGACTCGAATGGAATGGCATCGAATGGAATCGACTGGAGTGAAATGGACTCGAATGGAATGGCATCGAATGGAATGGACCCGAATGGAATGGACTCAAATGGAATAGAATCGAATGGAATGGAGTGGAATGGAATGGACCCAAATGTAATGGACTCAAATGGAATAGAATCGAATGGACTGGCAGCGACTGCAATGTAATGGACTGGAAAGGAATGGAATGGAATGGACCCAAATGTAATGGAGTCGAAAGAAATGGACTCAAATAGAATGGACTCGAAAGGAATGGTCTCGAAAGGAATTTATTCTAATAGAATGGAATTGAATAGACTGCAATAGTATTTAATGGAATCAAATGTAATCTAACGAAATGGAATGGACAGGAATGGAATGGACTGGAATAGAATGGAATCGAATGTAATGGATTACAATGTAATTGATTCGAATGGAATGGAATCGAAAGGAGTGTAATAAAATGGAATGGAATGGAATGCAATGGAATGGAATAGAATAGAATGTAATAGAATGGAACGGAGTGGAATCGAGTGGAATGGAGTCGAATGGAATGGAATCAAATGGGATGCACTGGAAGGGAATGGATTCGAATGGAATGGACTGGAACAAAGTAGAATCGAATGGATTGGAATCGAACAGAACGGAATGGAATGGAATGCAATAGAATGGACTCGAATGGAATTGAATTGAATGGAATTCAAAGGAATAGAATGGAATGGAATGGAATGGAAGATATCGAATGGAATTGAATGGAATGGAATGGACTCGAATGGAATGGAGTCGAATGAAATGGAATCGAATGGAATGGAATCGAATGGAATGGAATTGAATAGAACCGAAAGGAATAGAAAGGAATGGAGTGTAAAGGAAAGATATCGAATCAAAAGGAATGGAATGGAATGGAATCGAATGGAGTGGATTTTAATGGAATGGACTAGAATGGAATGCAACTGAAAGGAATTGAAAGGAATAGAGTGGAATGGAGTGTAATGGAAAGATATCGAATGGAATGGAATGGACTAGAAAGGAATGCAGTAGAATGGAATGGAATCGAATGGAATAGAATTGAATAGAATCGAAATGAATAGAAAGGAATAGAAAGGAATGGAGTGTAAAGGAAAGTTATCGAATGAAAGTAATGGAATGGAATGGACTCGAATCAAGTGGATTGCAATGGAATGGACTCGAATGGAATGGACTGGAGAGGAAAAAACTCAAAAGCAATGGAAATGAATGGAATGGAATGGAATGGAATGGAAAGGAATAGAACGGAATGGAATCGGATGGAAAGGAATGGAATGGAATGGAGTTGAGTGGATTAGAATCAAATGGAATGGCATCTAATGGAATGGAGTGGATTGGAATGGAATCGAATGGACTCAGACGGAATGGACTTGAATAGAATTGAATGGAATGGCATCGAAAGGAATGGAATGGAATGGAAGGGAAACAAATAGAATGGACTCGAACGGATTGGATTGGATCAAAATGGAATTGAACGGAATTGAATCGGACAGAATGGAATGAAATGGAATGGACTTGAATGGAATGGAGTCAAATGGAACGAAACAGAAAGGAATGGAATTGAATTGAATCTTAAGAAATAGAATGGAATGGAGTGTAATGGAAAGATATCGAAAGCAATGGAATGGAATGGAATGGATTCCAATGGAACGGACTCGAATGGAAAGTACTCGAATGGAATGGACTGGAGCAGAATGGAATCGAAAGGAATGTGATCGAATGGAATGGAATGGAACGGAATGGAATCAAATGGAATGGACTCGAATGGAATAGAATCGAATGCAATGGCATCGAATGGAATGGAATGGAATTGGATGGACCCAAATGTATTGAACTCGAATGCAATAGACTCAAATATAATTTATTAAAAAGGAATGGTCTCTAATGGAATTTATTCGAATACAGTGCAATCAAATGGAACGCAATAGTATGGAATGGAATTAAATGGAATGGACCAGAATGGAATGGACTGGAATAAAATGGTTTCGATTGTAATTCATTGCAATCCAATTGATTTGAGTTGTATGGAATCAAATGGAATGAAATCATATGGAATGCAATGGTATGCAATGGAATGGAATGGAATGGAATTCAATGGAAAGGAACGGAGTGGAATTGAGTGGAATGGAATCGAAAGGAAGGGAATCAAATGGAATGGAATCAAATCAAATGGACTGGAATGGAATGGACTCGAATGGAATGGACTGGAAGAAAATGGAATCGAATGGATTGAAGTAGAACAGAATGCAATGGAATGGAAAGGAATGAAAAGGAATGGACACGAATGGAATGGAGTGGAATGAAATGCAATTAAATAGAATGCAATGGAATGGAACGGAGTGAAATGGAAAGATATCAAATGGAATTGAACGGAATGGAATGGAATGAAATGGACTGGAGTGGAATGGACTCGAATGAAATGGACTGGAGTGGAATGGGCTCGAATGGAAAGGAAATGAATGGAATGGAATGGAAAGGACTACAATGGAATGGAATAGGATGGAACTGAATGGAATGGAATGGAATCGAATGGAATAGAATCGTGTGGAATGACATCGAATGGAATGGAATGGAATGGACTCGAATGGAATGGACTCTAATGGAATAGAATCGAAAGTAATGACATGGAATGGAATGGAAAGGAATGGAATGGAATGCAATGGAACGGACCCAGATGTAATGTACACGAATGGAATGCAGTCAAATAGAATGGACTCGAAAGGAATGGTCTCGAATGGAATTTATTCGAATAGAATGGAATCGAAAGGAATGTAATAGTATCTAAATGAATCGAATGGAATTTAATCAAATGGAATGGACTGGAATGGAATGGACTGGAATAGAAAACACTCGAATGTAATGGATGGAAATGTAATTGATTCGAATGCCTTGAAATTGAATGGAATGTAATCAAACGAAATGGAATGGAATGCAAAGGAATGGAATAGAATGGCATGCAGTGGAATGGAACAGAATGGAATAGAGTGGAATGGAATCAAATGGAATTTAATCGAATTGAATGGAATGGAATCGAAAGGAATGGAATCGAATGGAATGGACTGGAATGGAATGTACTCGAGTGGAATTGAATGGAATAAAATGGAATGGACTTGAGTGGAACTGACTGGAACAAAATGGAATGTAATGGATTGGAATCGAATGGAACAGAATGGAATGGAATTTAATGGAATGGAATGGAGTAGAATGGAATAGAATAGAATGGAATGACATCGAATGGTATGGACTGGAATTGGATGGACCCAAATGTAATGGACTTGAATGTAATAGACTCAAATAGAATGGATTAAAAAGGAATGGTCTTGAATGGAATTTATTCGAATACAGTGGAATCGAATGGAATGCAATAGTATGGAATGGAATCGAAAGTAATGGACGAGAATGGAATGGACTGGAATAGAACGGACTCGAATGTAATAGATTGCAATCCAATTGATTTGAGCTGAATGGAATCAAATGGAATGTAATCATAGGAAATGTAATGATATGCAATGGAATGGAATAGAATGGAATGCAATGGAATGCAATGGAGTGGAAACGAGTGGAATGGAATCAAATGGAAGGGAATCGAATGGAATGGAATCGAATTGAATGGACTGGAATGGAATGGACTCGAATGGAATGGACTGCAACAAATAGGAATCGAACGGAATGAAGTCGAACAGAAAGGAATGGAATGGAATGGAATGAAAAGGAATGGATTCGAATGGAATGGAGTCGAATGGAAAGGAATACAGTGGAATGGAATCGAATGGAATGGAATTGAATGGAATCGAAAGGAAAAGAATGGAAAGGAATGAAAAGGAAAGATATCAAGTGGAATTGAATGGAATGGAATGGACTCAAATGAAATGGACTGGAATGGAATGGACTCGAATGGAATGGGATGGAGTGGAATGGACTCCAATGGAATGGAAACCAATGGAATGGAATGGTATGGAAAGGGCAAGAATGGAGTGGAATCAGATGGAACCGAATGAAATGGAATGGAGTCGAATAGAATAGAATCGAATCGAATGGCATGGAATGGAATGGAATGGAATGCATTCGAATGGAATGGGCTCTAATGGAATAGATTCTAATGTAATGGTATCAAATGGAATAGAAAGGAATGGAATGGAATGCAATGGAACGGACCCAAATGTAATGGACACGAATGGAATGGACTCAAATAGAATGGACTCAAAAGGAATGGTCTCAAATGGAATTTATTCAAATAGAATGGAATCCAAAGGAGTGCAATAGTATCAAATGGTATTGAATGGAGTTGAATCAAATGGAATGGACAAGAATGGAATGGACTGGAATAGAAAGGACTCGAATGTAATGGATTGTAATGTAATTCATTTGAATGCCTTGGAATTGAATGGAATGAAATCAAATGGAATGGAATGGAATGTAATGGAATGGAATAGAATGGAATGCAATGGAATGGAATAGAATGGAATGCAATGGAATGGAATAGAATGAAATTTAGTGGAATGGAATCAAATGGAATTTAATCGAATCGAATGGAAGGGAATCAAATGGAATGGACTGCAATGGAATGTACTCGAGTGTTATTGACTGGAACAAAATGGAAAGTAACGTATTGGAATCAAATGGAACGGAATGGAATGGAATGGAATGGACATGAATGGCATGGAGTCGAATGGAATGGAATTGAATGGAATGGAATTGAATGGAATGGAACTGAATGGAATCAAAAGGAATAGAATGGAATGGAGTGTAAAGGAAAGATATCGAATGGAATGGAATTGAATGGAATCGAAAGGAATAGAATGGAATGGAGAGTAATGGAAAGATATCGAATGGAATGGAATGGAATGGACTCGAATGGAATGGACTGCAATGGAATGGACTCGAGTGGAATTGACTGGAACAAAATGGAAAGTGACGGATTGGAATAGAATGGAACGGAATGGAATGGAATGGACATGAACGGCATGGAGTTGAATGGAATGGAATCGAGTGGAATGGAATCGAATGGAGTGGAATTGAATGGAATCGAAAGGAACAGAATGGAATGGAGTGTAATGGAAAGATATCGAATGGAATGGAATTGAATGGAATCGAAAGGAATAGAATGGAATGGAGATTAATGGAAAGTTATCGAACGGAATGGAATGGAATGGACTCGAATGGAATGGACTGCAATGGAATGGACTCGAAAGGAATGGACTGGAGAAGAATGGAATTGAATGGAATGGAATCGAATGGAATGGATTGGAATGCAGTGGAAAGGAATAGAAAGGAAAGGAATTGGATGGAAAGGAATGGAGTTTAACTGAGTCAAATAGAATAGAATTGAATGGAATGGCATCGAATGGAATGGAATGGATTGAAATGGTATGGACTCGAATGAAATGGATTCAAAGGGAATAGAATAGAATTGAATGGCATCGAATGGAATGGAAGAGAAGGGAATGGAAGAGAAGGGAATAGAATGCAATGGAATCAGATGGAACAGAATGGAATGGAATGGAATCTAATGGAGTAGAATCGAATGGAATGGCATCGAATGTTATGGAATGGAATGGATTGAAATGGTATGGACTCGAATGCAATGGACTCAAAAGGAATAGAATAGAATTGAATGGCATTGAATGGAATGGAATAGAATGGAATGGAAGGGAAGGGAATAGAGTGCAATGAAATCGGATGGAACAGAATAGAATGGAATGGAATCGAATGGAAAGGAATCGAATGGAATGGACTGGAATGGAATGGACTCTATTGGAAACGACTTGAACAAAGTGGAATTGAATGGATTGGAATCGAATGGAATGGAATTGAATGGAATGGAATGGAATGGACTTGAATGGAATGGAGTTGAATGGAATGGAATCAAATGGACAGGAATCGAATGGAATGGAATTGAATGCAATCGACAGGAATAGAATGGAATGGAGTTTAATGGAAAAATACAGAATGGAATGGAATGGAATGGAATGGAATGGAATATACACGAAAGTAATAGATTCGAATGGAATAGCATCGAATGCAATGGAATGGAATGGAATGGACCCAAATGTAATGGAATTGAATGGAATGGGCTGAAAAAGAATGGACTTGAAAGGTAGGTCTCGAACGCAATTTATTCTAATACAATGGAATCGAATGGAATGCAATAGTATGGAATGTATTCGAATGGAATGCAATCAAAAGGAACGTACCAGAATGGAATGGACTGGATTAGAACGGACTCAAATATAATCGATTGAAAAGTAACAGATTCGAATAGAATGGACTTGAATCGAATGTAATCAAATGGAATGGAAAGGAATGGAATGGAATGGAATGGAATGGAATGGAATGGAATGGAATGGAATGGAATGGAATGCAATGGAATGAAATGGAGTGGAATTGAGTGGAAGGGAATCGAATCAATTGGAATGGAATGGAATGGAGTGGAATGGAATGGAATGCAATGGAATGGACTCAAATGAAAGGCACTGGAGTTGAATGGGCTCAAATGGATTGTAAACGAATGGAATGGAATGGAATGGAAAGGAATAGAATGGAATGGAATCGGATGGAATGGAATGAAATGGAATGGAGTCTAATGGAATAGAATCACATGGAATGACATTGAATGGATTGGAATGGAATGGAACGGAACGGAATAGACCCAAATGTAATGGACTCGAATGGAATGGACTCGAAAGAAATGGTCTCGAATGGAATTTATTCGAATAGAATGGAATCGAATGGAATGCAATAGAATGGAATGGAATCAAATGGAATGGAATCGAATGGAATGGACCAGAATGTAATGGCCTGGAATAGAACAGACTTGAATGTAAGGGATTGCAAAACAATTGATTCGAATGGAATGCAGTCGAATGGAATGAAATGGAATGGAATGGAATGGAATGGATTCGAATGGAATGGAACGGAACAAAATGGAATGGAACAAAATGGAATGGAAGCGAATGGAATGGAATGGAATGGAATGGAATGGAATGGAATGGAATGGAACATAATGGAATGGAATGGAATGGAATGGAACGGAATGGAATGGAACTGTATGGAATGGAATGGAATGGACTCAAATGGAATGGAACTGTATGGAATGGAATGGAATGGACTCAAATGGAATGGAGTCGAATGGAATGAAACCGAGTGGGATGGAATCAAATGGAATGGAATTGAATGGAAATGAAAGTAACAGAATAGAATGGAGTGTAATGGAATAATATGGAATGGAGTGGAATGGAATGCAGTGGACACGAATGGAATGGACACGAATGGAATGGACTGGAGTGGAATGGACTCTAATGGAATGGAAGCAAATGGAATGGAATGGAATGAAATGGAATGGAATGGAATGGAATGGAATGGAATGGAACAAAACGGAACGGAACAGAAAGGAACGGAACGAAATGGAATGGAATGGAATGGAATGGAATGGAATGGAATGGAATGGAATGGAATGAAATGGAATGGAAAGTAATAGAATGGAATGGAACCGTTTGGAAGGGAATGGAATGGAATGGAGTCGAATGGAATAGAATCGAATCGAATGGCATCGAATGGAATGGAATGGATTCGAATGTAATGGACTTGAATGGAATAGAGTGGACTGGAATGGCACCGAATGGAATGGAATGGTATGTGCACAAATTTAATGGACTTGAATAGAATGGAGTCAAATAGAATGGACACGAAAGGAATGGTCTCGAATGGAATTTATTCGAAAAGAATGGAATCGAAAGGAATGCAATAGTATGGAATGGTATCGAATGGAATGGAATCGAATGGAATGCAATAGTATGGAATGGTATCAAATGGAATGGAATCGAATGGAATGCACCAGAGTGGAATGGACTGGAATAGAACAAACTCGAATGTAATGGACTGCAATGTAATTGATTCAAATGGATTGGAATTCAATGGAATGTAATCAAATGGAATGGAATGGAATGCAATTGAATGGAATAGAAAGGAACGCAAAGGAATGGAACGGAGTGGAATAGAATCGAATGGAATGGAATCAAATGGTTTGCACTGTAATGCAATGGACTCGAGTGGAATGGACTGGAACAAAACGGAATCGAATGGAATGGAATAGAACATAAAGGAATGGAATGGAATGGAATGCAATGGACTCGAATGAAATGGAGTCGAATGTAATGGAATTGTATTGAATGGAATCAAATAGAATGGAATTGAATGGATTGTAAAGGAATAGAATGGAATGAAGTGTAATGGAAAGATATCGACTGGAATGGAATGGAATGGAATAGACTCAAATGAAATGCACTTGAGTGGAATGGTCTCCAGTGGAATGGAATGGAATGCAATGAAATGGAAAGGAATACAATGGAATGGAATCGGATGGAACTGAATGGAATGGAATGGAGTTGAAAGGAAATGAATCAAATTGAATGGCATCGAATGGAATGGAATGGAATGGAATGGAATAGACCCAGATGTAATGGACTTGAATGGAATGGACTCAAATTGATTTGACTCGAAGAAATGGTCTCGAATGGAACTTATTTGAATAGGATGGAATCCAGCGGAATGTACTAGAATGGAATGGAATCAAATGGAGTGGAATTGAATGGAATAGACCAGAATTGAATGGACTGGAACAGAACGTACTCGAATGTGATGGATTGCAAAGTAATTGATTCGAATGGAATGGAATAGAATGGAATGGAATGGACCATAATGGACTGGACTTTAATAGAAAGGGCATGAATGTAATGGACTGCAATGTAATTGATTCGAATGGAATGGAATCGAATGGAATGTAATCAAATGGAATGGAATGGAGTGCAATGGAATGGAATAGAATGGAATGTAATGGAGTGGAACGGAGTGGAATTGAGTGGAATGGAATTGAATGGAATGCAAATGAATGGAATGGAATCGAATGGAATGTACTGGAATGTAATGGACTGGAACAAAATGTAATGGAGCGGATTGGAATCGAAATGAACGGAACGGATTGGAATGGAACGGAGTCGAATGGATTGGAGTCGAATGGAATGGAACCGAATGGAATGGAATCGAATGGAATGGAATTGAATGGAATAGAAAGGAATAGAATGGAAAGGAGTGTGATGGAAATATAACGAATGGAATGGAGTGGAATGGAGTGGAATGGAATGGAACCAAGTGGAATGGAATCGAATGGAATGGAATTGAATAGAATCAAAAGGAATAGAATGGAATGGAGTGTAATGGAAATATAATGAATGGAATGGAATTGAATAGAATGGAAAGGAATAGAAGAGAAAGGAATCGGATGGAACGGAATGGAAAGAATTGGAGTTAAATGGAATAGAATCGAGTAGAATGGCATCGAATGGAATGCAATGGAATGGAATGGACTCGAAGGTAATGGACTCAAATGGAATAGAATTGAATGGAGTGGCATCGAATGTATTGGAAAGGAGAGGAATGGAATGGATTGGACTGAAATGTAATGGGCTCGAATGGAATTGAATCAAATAGAATGGACTCAAATGGAATGGTCACTAATGGAATTTATTCAAATAGAATGGAATCGAATGAAATGCAATAGTATGGAATTGAATCGACTGGAATGTAATCGAATGGAATGGACTGGAATGGAATGGAATAGAATAGAATGGACTCGAATGTAATGGATTGCCATATAATTGATTGGAATGGAATGGAATCGAATGGAATGGAATCGAATGCAATGTAATCAAATAGAATGGAATGGAATGCAATGGAATGGAATAGAATGGAATGCAATGGAATGTAACAGAGTGGAATTGAGTGGAATGGAATCAAATGGAATGGAATCGAATGGAACGGACTGGAATTGAATGGACTTCAATAGAATGGACTGGCACAAAATGGAATCAAACGGATTGGAATAGAAAGGAATGGAATTGAATGGAGTGGACAGGAGTGGCTTCGACTGGAATGGAGTCGAATGGAATGGCATCAAACGGAATGGACTGGAATGGAATGGAATGGAATGGAATGGAATGGAATGAATTCGAGTGGAATGGACTCGAATTGAATATAATCGAATGGAATGGAATCGAGTGGAATGGAATGGCATGGAAAGGAATGGACCCAAATATAATGGACTCAAATGGAATGTACTCAAATAGAATGGACTCGAATGGAATGGTCTCGAATGGAATATAATCAAATAGAATGTAATTGAATGGAATGCAGTAGTATGGAACGGAATCGAATGGAATGGAATTGAATGGAATGGACCAGAATGGAATGGAATGGAATAGAACGGACTGCAAATTAACGGAATGCAATGTAATTGATATGAATGGAATGGAATAGAATGGAATGTAATCAAATGGAATGGAATGGAATGCTATGCAATGGAATAGAATGCAATGCATTGGAATGGAACGGAGAGGAATCGAGTAGAATGGAATCAAATGGAATGGAATTGAAGGTAATGGACGGGAAAAAATGGAGTCGAAAGCGTTGGAATGGAATGGAATGGAATGGATTGTAATGGACTCGAATGGAATGGAGTCAAATGGAATGGAATCGAATGGAATGGAATTGAATGGAATCCAAAGCAATAGAATGGAATGGAGTGTAATAGAAAGCTATCAAATAGAATGGAATGGAAGGGAATGGACTCGAATGGAATGGACTGGAGTGGAATGAACTCGAATGGAATGGTGTCAAATGGAATTTAATTGACTGCAGTTGAATTGAATGGAATGGAACTGAATGGAATCTAAAGATAGAGAATGGAAAGGAGTGTAATGGAAAAACATCGAATGGAATTGCTTGGAATGGACTCGAAAGGAATGGACTGGAATGGAATGGACTTGAAGGGAATGGACTGGAGTGGATTGGAATCGAATGCAATGGAAGCAATTGGAATGGAATGGAATGGAATGGAATGGAATGGAAAGGAATAGAATGAAATGGAATCGGTTGGAACGGAATGGAATGGAATGGAGCAGAATGGAATAGAATCGATTGCAAGGTCATCGAATGGACTGGAATGGAATGAACTCGAATTGAATGGACTGGAAAAAAATGGAATCAAATGGATTGGAATCAAAGAGAAAGGAATAGAATGGAATGGACACAAATGTAATGGACTCGAATGGAATGGACCCAAATAGAATGGACACGAAAGGAATGGTCTCGAATGGAATTTATTTGAACAGAATGGAATCGAATGGAATGCAAACTATAGAATGGTATCGAATGGAATAGAATCGAATGGAATGGACGGGAATGGAATGGACTCGATTGGAATGGACTCAACAGGAATGGAAACGAATGGAATGGAATGGAATGGAATGGAATGGAATTTAATGCAAAGGAATAGAATGTAATGGAATCGTATTGAACTGAATGGAATTCAATGGAGTCGAATGGAATAGAATCAAATGGAATGGCATCGAATGGTATGGAAGGGAATGGAATGGAATGGACTCGAATGCAATGTACTGCAACAAAATGGAATCGAAAGGATTGGAATCGAATTTAACAGAATGGGATTGAATGGAATGCAATGGACTCGAAAGGAATGGAGTCAAATGGAATAGAACCGAATGGAATGGATTGGAATGGAACGGAATGGAATGGAATCGAAAGGAATAGAATGGAATTGGGTGTAATGGAAAGATATCGAGTGGAATGGAATGCAATGGAAGGGACTCGAATGGAATGGACTGGAATGGAATAGAATGGAATGGAATGAAATGGAAAGGAATAGAAAGTAAAGGAATCGGATGGAAAGAAATGGAATGGAATGGAGTCGAATGCAATAGAATCGATTGGAATGGCATCAAATGGAATGGAAAGGAATGGACCTGAATGGAATGGACTCGAATAGAATGGAAACGAAAGGAATGGAAACAATAGAATGGAAAGGACTAGAATGTAATGGAATCAAATTGAACAAAATAGAATGGAATAGAGAAGAATGGAATAGAATCGAATGGAATGACATCGAGTGAAATGGAATGCAATGGAATGGAATGGAATGGAATGTACCCAAATATAATGGACTCGAATGGAATGGACTTAAATAGATTGGACTCAAAAAGAATGGTCTCGAATGGAATTTATTTGAACAGAATGGAATCGAATGGAATGCAAATGTATGGAATGGAATCAAATGGAATAGAATCGAATGGAATGGACAGGAATGAAATGGACTGGAATAGAATGGACTCGAATGTATTGGATTGCAACGTAATTGATTTGTATGGAATGGAATCGAATTTAAGATTATCAAATTGAATGGAATGGTAAGCAATGGAATGGAATATAATGGAATGCAATGGAATGGAATGGAGTGGAATTAAGTGGAATGGAATCAAATGGAATGCCATCGAATGGAAAGGAATGGAGTGGAATGGACTGCAATGGAATGGACTGGAACAAAATGGAATCAAACGGATTGGAATCCAGTGGAATGTAAAGGGATGGATTGGAATGGAATGGACTTGAATCAAATGAAGTCGAATGGATTGGAACCGAATGGAATGGAATCAAATGAAATGGAATTGAATGAAATCAAAATGAATAGAATGGAATTTGGTGTAATGGAATGATATCGAATGGAATGGAATAAAATGGAAAGGACTCGAATGGAATGGAAACGAATGGAATGGAATGGAATAGAATGGAATGCAAACGGATGGAACGGAATGGAGTGGAACGGAGTCGAGAGGAATAGAATGGAATTAAATCGCATCAAATGGATTGGAATGGAATGCAATGGAATGGATTGGACACGAGTGGAATGGACTCGAATGGAATAGAATCATTTGGAATGGCATCAAATGGAATGGAATGGAATGGAAAGGAATAGAATGGAATGAAATCGGACGGAATGGAATGGTATGGAACGGAGTCGAATGGAATAGAATGGAATTAAATGGCATCGAATGGATTGGAATAGAATGGAATCTGCTCGAATGGAATGGACAGGAATGGAATGGACTAGAATGGAATGGCATCGAATGGAATGGAATGGAATGGACCAAACATAATGGACTGTAATGCAATGGAATCAAATAGAACGCACTTGAAAGTAATGGTCTCGAATGAAATTTATTCGAAAATAATGGAATCGAATGGAATTCAATAGTATGGAATGGAAACAAATGGAATGGAATCGAATGGAATGGATTTGAATGTAATGCACCGGAATGGAATGGACTAGAATAGAACAGACTGGAATGTAATGGATTGTAAGGTAATTGATTCGAATGGAATGGAATTGAATGGAATGTAATCAAATGGAATGGAATGGAATGCAGTGGAATGGAATAGAATGGAATGCAATGGAATGGAATGGAGTGGAAATGAGTGGAATGGAATCGAATGGAATGGAATCGAAATGAATGGACTCGAAGGGAAGGGACTCGAATGGAATGGACTTCAACAAAATGGGAAGGAAAGGATTGGAATCGAACGTAATGGAATGAAATCGAATGGATTGGAATCGAATGGAATGGAGTCGAATGGAATGGAATCGAATGAAATGGAATCGAGTGGATTGGAATTGAATGGAATCAAAATGATTTGAATGGAATGGAGTGTAATGGATAGATATCGAATGGAAAGGAATGGATTGGACTCGAATGGAATGGACTCGAATGGAATGGACTGGAGTGGAGTGGAATCGAATGGAACAGAAATGAACGGAATGAAATGGAATGGAATTGAACGGAAAAGTGTAGAATGTAGTGGAATCGGTTGGAATGGAATGGAATGGAATGGCGACGAATGGAATACAAACGAATGAAATGGAAAGGAATGCAATTGAATGTAATGCAATGGAACTGAATGGAAAGGAATAGAATGGAATGGAATCGGATGGAATGGAAAGGAAGGGAAGGGAGTCGAATGGAATAGAATCGAATGGAATGGCATCGAATGATATGGAATGGAATGGACTCGAATAGAATGGACTGTAACAAAATGGAATTGAATGCTGTGGCATTGAATGTAAGGGAATTGAATAGAATGCAACGAACTCGAATGGAATGGAGTCGATAGGAATGGAATAGAATGGAATGGAAACAAATGGAATGGAATTGAATGTAATCAAAAGGAGTAGAAAGGAATGGAGTGTAATAGAAAGATATTGAATGGAATGGAATGGAATGGAATAGACTTGAAAGGATTGGAATCGAATGGAATGGACTGGGGTGGAATGGACTCAAATGGAGTAGGCTGGAGTGGAATGGACTCTAATGGAATGGAATGAAAAGGAATGGAATGGAACGGAAAGAAATAGAATGGATTGGAGTCAGGTGGAATGGAATGGAGTTTAATGGAGTTGAAAGGAATAGATTAGAATGGAATGGCACCAAATGGAATGGAATGCAATGGACTCGAATGGAATGGACTCGCATGGAATAGAATCGAATGGAATTTAATGGAATATATTGGAATGGTCACAAAAGTAATGGACTCGAATGGAATGGACTCAGATGGAATGGACTAGATAGGAATGGTCTCCAATGGAATTTATTCAAGTAGAATGGAATCGAACAGAATGCAATAGTACGGAATGGAATCGAATTGAATGGAATCGAATGGAATGGACTGGAAATGAATGGAATGGATTAGAACGGACACAAATATAATTGATTGTAAAGTAATTGATTTGAATGGAAAGGAATTGAATGGAATGTAATCAAATGAAATGGAAAGGAATGGAATGGAATGCAATGCAAGGGAATGGAGCGGAGTAGAATTGAGTGGAAGTGAATCAAATAGAGTGGAATGGAATAGAATGGAATGGAAAGGACTTGAATGGAATGCGTTGGAGTGGAATGGACTCAAACGGAATGGAAACAAATGGAATAGAATGGAAAGGAATGGAAAGGAATAGAATGGAATGGAATCGGATGGAATGGAATGGAATGGAGTCGAATGGAATAGAACCGAATGGAATGGAATCGAATGTATTGGAATGGAGTGGAATGGAACAGAATTTAATGGACTGTAATAGAATGGAATCTAATGCAATGGATTGCAATGTAATTGATTCATATGGAATGGAATCGAATGGAATGTAATCAAAAGGAATGGAATGGAAAACAATGGAATGGAATAGAATGGACAGCAAAGGACTGCCACAGAGTGGAATCGAGAGGAATGGAATGGAATGGAATGGAATGGAATGGAATGGAATGGAATGTATTCGAATGGAATAGAACCGAGTGGAATGGAGTTGGGACAAAATGGAATAGAACTCAGTGCAATCGAATGGAAAGAAATGGAATTTAATGGAATGGAAGGTAATAGACTCGAATGGAATGGAGTATAATGAAATGGAATCAAATGGAATGGAATCGAATGGAATACAATTGAATGGAATGGAATGGAATGGAATAGAGTGCAATGCACAGATATCGTGTGGAATGGAATGGAGGGCAATGCAATGATATCGTGTGGAATGGAATGGAATGGAATGGAATGGAATGGAATGGAATGGAATGGAATGGACTTGAATGGAATGGACTCGAATGCAATGGACTCGAATGGAATGGATTCCAATGCAATGGACTGGAGGGCAATTGACTCGAATGAATGGAAACGACTGGAATGGAATGGAAAGGAGCAGAATGAAATGGAATTGGATGGAACTGAATGGAATGGAATGGAATGGAATCGAATGGAATGCACTGAATTGGAATGGACTCGAATGGAATGGACTTGAGTGGAATGGATTCGAATGGAATGGAAACAAATGGCATGGAATGGAATGGAACGGAATAGAATGGAATGGAATCGGATGGAACGGAATGGAAAGGAATGGATTCGAATGGAGTAGAATCTAATGGAATGAAGTCGAATGGAATGGAATGGAATGGAGTGGAACGGACCCAAATGCAATGGACTCGAATGAAATAGAACAGAATGGAATAGCATCAAGTGGAATGCAATGGAATGGAATGGATGCAAATGTAATGGACTCGAAAGGAATGGAATCAAATAGAATGGACCCGAATGGAATGGTCTCGAAAGGAATTTATTCGAATAGAATGGAATGGAAAGGAATGCAATATTTTGGAATGGAATGAAATAGTATACATTGGAATCAAATGGAATGGAATCGAATGTATTGGAGTGGAATGGTATGGACTGGTATAGAAAGTACTCGAATGTAACGGATTGCAATATAATTGATTCGAGTTGAATGGAATCAAATGGAATGTAATCAAATGGTAAGGAATGGAATGCAATTGAATGAAATAGAATGGAATGCAATGGAATGGAACGGAGTGCAATCGAGTGGAATGGAATCGAATTGAAAAGAATTGAATGCAATAGATTCGAATGGAATGGAATCACATGGAATGGAATTGAATGGAATAGAATTGAATGGAATCAAAAGAAATAAAATGGATTGGAGTGTAATGGAAATATATTGAATGCAATTGAATGGAATGGACTCCAATGGAATGGACTGGAATGGAATGGATTCGAATGGAATGGACTGGAGAGGAATGGACTCGAATGAAATGGAAAGGAATGGGATGCAATGGAATGGAATGGAACGGAAAGGAATAGAATGGAATGGAATTGGATGGAACTGAATGGAACGGAATGGAGTCAAAAGGAATACAATTGAATGGAATGTCATCGAATGGAATGGAATGGAATGGAATGGATTGGAATAGAATGGAACGGAGTGGAATGGAATGTACCCAAATGTAGTGGACTCGAATACAATGCAGAAATAGAATGGACTCGAAAGGAAAGGTCTAGAATGGAATTTATTCGAATTGAATGTACTCGAATGGAATGCAATAGAATGGAATGGAATCAAATGGAATTCCATCGAATGGAATGGACCGGAATGGAATGGACTGGAATAGAATGGACTTGAATGTAATGGAATGTAATGTAATTGATTCGAATGGAATGGAATCGAATGGAAAATAATTAAATGGAATGGAATGGAATGGAATGCAATGGAATTGAATAGAATGGAATGTAATGGAATGGAAAGGAGTGGAATCGAGTGGAATGGAATTGAATGGAATGGAATCGAACTGAATGGAATCGAATGGAATGGACTCGAATGTAATGGACTGGGGCAAAATGGATTCGAACCTATTAGAATCGAATGGCATGGAATGGAATGGAATGGAATGGACTCGAATGGAATGGAGTCGAATGGAATGGAACCGAATGAATGGAATTGAATGGAATTGAAAGAATAGAATGAAAGGGAGTGTAATGTAAAGATATCCAATGGAATGGAATGGAATAGAATTGACTCGAAAGGACTGGAATCAAATGGAATGGACGGGAATGGAATGGAATCGAATGGAATGGACTGGAACAAAATGGAATTGAACGGATTGGAATCAAACGGAATGGAATGTAATGGAATGGAATTAAATGGATTGGACTCCAAAGGAATGGAGTCGAATGGATAGTAATAGAATGGAATGGAAACGAATGGAATGGAATTGAATGTAATTGAAAGGAATAGAATGGAATAGAGTGAAATGGAATGATATCGAATGGAATCGAATGGACTCGAATGGAATGGAATGGAATGGAATGGAATGGAATGGAATGGAATGGACTCAAATGGAACAGACTGGAGTGGAATGGACTCGAATGCAATGGAAAGGAATGGAATGGAATGGAAAGCAATAGAATGGAATGGAATCAGATGGAACGGAATGGAAAGGAATGGATTCGAATGGAATAGAATCATATGGAATGGCGTCGAATGGAATGGAATGGACTCGAATGGAATTGACTCGAATGAATTACAACAGAATGGAATGGCATCAAGGGGAATGGAAAGGAATGGAATGGACCCAAATTTAATGGACACGAATGGAATGGAATCAAATAGTATGAACACGAAAGGAATGATC